>NC_000004.12:148921381-149224411 GCF_000001405.40 Homo sapiens
TCTGTAATTTTTCTGTTGACATTGTTTATGCTATAAATTTAAAGACACAAAGGATGTCTTGGAATAGGATGGGTAAAAAGCTGCTAAAAGCTATAAAACACTTGGTGACTTTTGATATGCCTAGCAACCACGTGGCTGCCCCATCTCCTCTTGTGCACATACCAGAGCTTTGTCCTTATGAGAGATGAATGACTCCAGAACAGGCCTCTCATGTCACCTGTGGGGCTTTTACTTAATGAAATAAGAAAGCAAGGCACAGCCTTCTCAGCCTGACAAATTGGACACAGGGGTGAGAGTGGCTCTTTGTCAAAAGGAAGGCAGAGCACATCTTTTAAGACATTTCGAATGAGCATGAGCAGTCAAGGAGCATACAAAATAATAATAATAATAACATATGTATTCCAAAAACAAGTTTTGTTTCTCTGTATGATGGAGTAGTTGATATTCTTTCAGTGTCAATTTTATCTCATTTATATGGTGCTCAGGTCTTAAAAGAACTACAAAAAGGTAAACTCAAATATTTATATTTAAATTTCCTATTAATTGAACTGCCTTTGACTGCGAAGTGATTTTGAGTTGAGATGTATGGAGCAACAGTGCAGTGAACGTAGGCCCTCCCTAAATAATGCTTGACTGAATAAATAAAAATATCTCAAAGAAGTAAATTTTTGAGATGGGCAGAAATTTTGTGTGGTCTGATTTCCTCACTTTCCAGATAAAGAACTTGAAATCCAGGAGAATAGGTGATTTGCTGGAATCAGCTAATGAGTCTGTGGCAATATCAGGACAAAGATAGGCCCTTTGCTTTTGGTGTCTCTGCCCAATACCCCTTCTATTAATTATTAATAAAATGTACCCACCTGACCCTCTAACAGAGATGACGGTAGGGGGAAGCTTGATTTTTCAGTTTGTTTAATGGGAAGAACATCCAATACTTCTGTGGTTGATTCTTTGATAATTACCAGTATGCTTTTCCTTCATGCTCCCAGAAGCTCAACTGAACAAAAGAGGAGAGCTGGGATGAGGAACTTTAAGTGACTGGCCCAGTCACCTAGGGGCTGAGTTGGGACATCAGTGTCTACTTGTGACTCTTACCCTATGGTGCTAGTATAAGAGAAGGCAGCCTCAGAATGAAGATACTTGTCTAAGTAAACCGTGGCATCTCTATTATTGTTTCCATTTTGCAGTAAGACTAGTTGTTATCACATTTTATGAGTTTCATAAACTTCTGCTGTGAATATGATGATGAGGGTTCTCAACTTTTTACCTCAGATAAGGTGGTCAAATGTCTTATCTGGTGTGATTGGTGGTGGCCTACACCCAACTTGGACATTGATCTGAAACTATTTCTAGGCCAATAAAGTTTTTATCTGTCTTATAAAATATGTCTTCCCTCTTTTGCTGACACCATTCCTGGCATGTCTCAGATGCCTCATACAGCCACTAATTTCCACAGGCAATCATGGGTTTCCTTGGCCACACTCAGAACTCTCCAGAAACAGACTCTCATATGAGAAGAGGCCATTGTAAGCACATTCTATTTCAATTCTTTAAAAATAAAGAAGATAAGTCACTTCCATTTTATTTTATTTAAATGAATAGTACATTTACATGGCCCAAAGACATTCAAAAGTATATAAGAAAAAGTACATAGGGAAACATCTCCCTCCCTCCCCACCTTTTCTTTCTGTCAGCCAATCCTTCTCCCAGTAGACAAAGATATTAGTTTTCTTATGGATTCTTCCAGAGCTATTTTATACAATATATACACACACACACTTACACATACACACTTACACACACACACACACCCTCACATGTATTCCCTCTTTATTCACAAATGATTGCCTTCTATACATGCTGTGCTATATTTTGAGTTTTTCACTTTATTGGACCATATATCTTGGAACTTTCCTTATAATTAGGAAGAGTAGTTCCTTATTCTTTCCATGGCTACCAAATAAATACTCCATTCTGTGGACACATTTGTTTAACCAGCTATTAATAAACATTTAGATATTCTTTTGAACATTTGTTATTACAGAAAGGTTACAATAAATAACTTTCTACATAGGTTATTTCATTCATTTGTGAAAAGACATTTCCATTGTGTACATTCCTAGAAACAGAATTGCTTAGGTCATAGCATAATGTGCACTTATTTTGATAGATACTGCCAAATTTCCCTACATGTGAATGTTAGTTGACTGATCACCATATAGAACATTTTTGCTTCTTTAAGATGCTGTGAGCCTGAATACAGGTACTTTTGGTTTGGGTTAAGGAAGAAATTTTTTTATTAAGTAAAGAAAGAGTAAGGTAATTGTAATAGTTGATACTAGTAGAAAATATTTCCATAGCATTAGTATATTCCAGCATTGTTCCAAGAGCTGTGCATTGATCTGTGAGTAAGTATTTCATCTACCCCCACCTTCATCCTCAAAGACTTGTGAATCCTCTATATTTTCCACATTCGGCCTAAAATATTTTCCAGCAGTCTTCTAATAAGACATATAATTTGGGGAGGATATTTATTTCAGCTGTTTAGCTTCATGGCTTTTCTCATGTGATTGTTTGAAAGAAGTCAAATTCCTCCCTTCTTTATACCATTCCTCCCCACCCTTTCTTTTGGCCATCTTGCCAATTTCCTTCCTCCTCTCCTTGCTCCCAGCTATAGACTTCTCTGACATCACTGCAGCACACTGCCATGAGGGAGGAGCAGGTACTGATAAGGTTTTATCAGAAACTTTTTCTTATTTCCACATGCAGTATGTGTTGGACTCTTTCCTTTCATGGAGTTGGGCAGCTGCTGGTTTCTATGTTCTTCTTTTTAGCTTATCCAACATTTCTTTTTTACTAATCAAGAAGGAGCCATTTTCCTAAATCTCAATTTTTATTTTCTTTTATTACCAGCACAATTGATTTTCTGTTTGGAGCTTGTTTTCTGAATGAAACACCACTCTCATCCCTTCATGGTTTACTCTCAGGGAGCTGTGAACACTAATGAAGGCACTTGCATGGTCTTCCCCCTGTGCTAGGCTCTGTTCTGAGTTCTTTGCATACTGCATGGTAAGGTACAATGGGGAGGGTACAATTCTTCAGTGGCTTCTCAGATTTCCCCAACCACATCCTTGTCCTTCAACATTCAACTTGCATCTTCTACCTCTCCATTTTGAGACTGGGCCAAGGCATGGAATCTAGCTTTCAAAGTGCCTGCCAAGGGACCAGATGATGCTATTGGTAGTAGAAAGGAGTTAGCTCTCTGCAAAGTGAACATTGGCCACTGGAAGTCAGAGGCAAAAAGGAGCCAGACAGATACGTTCTCTTCCTTTCTATCTTTTGTGGGCTGCTTTAAGATACAGCAACTCTTTGCAACCCTCCCACAAAAATACCATTGAAGTCCTGTGTGTGGAAAGAACACCTGCTGAGCAATGCACTGTCTTCTTAGCTGCTTGTTAAGTAACCAGCATAGAACACATCACAATGCATTTCATTGTACCTCCATTTCCCTTCTACCCTCACTGTCTCCACCTTAGGCTGGGAATCCCACATAAATTATTCTTAACATAATCTTTGTTTCCAGATAATCTTTCTAGAGGACTCCAGCTAAGATCTGTACATGAACAAATTTAATTCTCATGAAAACTCTACAAAGTAGATAACTAGTAGTGTTTCTTATGTGTCATAAATCTTTGGCAGTTGTTTGGGAAATGTAGAAACTGTTGAAACTGAATTCCAAGAGTTTGTTGTAAGTGTGGTAAGCCTCGCATTTACTTTCATAAAATGTATATGTTGGCACGCACATTCAACAACCGATAGGGTAATCATATTTTCTGGTCTAAGCATTAGGAAGTATGGCCTGACATACGACGCGGCTCTCAGTACTTCTTCCATGCTAGATGAAAAGTGACCCAGGAAATCTGAGACACATGGTTATAGTACATACATGAAAGTATGTACTATATACTGCATGGTTATAGTACATACATATATTATGAAAGCAAGTGGATGCAAGGAAAAAGGTCTGAAAGAATTTCTTTACAGAGCTTTTTGTCAGAATAAGGTTGACTCTCCCCATTTGACCTTCAACTCCCAGGAAGCCTGGGCTTAACTGCTTTGATTTACTCCCATAATAAGGTGATCGATTAATGTGAAAGGCCAGCTTTATGAGGCCTGTCCGGGAATGGTGCTGGAGACTGCTGTAGTGAGAGAGTTATACTGCCACTACTCTAAAAAAGGTCATTGGAAAAGAATCAAAGACAGCATAAATGATGGTTTACACATCAAAAATCTCTCTGTAAAACAGACAGAAAATGTTGAACTTAATACCTCTTAGGGTTTGGTGCAGAGGTTGTGTAGTAAATATAGTTTGAGTTGTTGCTGTATACATTCTCTTATTGTCAAAAATTATGTTATTTGAAGCCCATCATTGAGGGACCGTTCTTATGATTAAATGAGAGGGCCCTGGAAAAGCCTAATATGTTACTGGCTAGAATTCATTTCACTGTCATTAGGGTCTGTCATAGCTGTTTCATTACCCTGATGGCCAGTTGTTGGGGTCAAAGTTCAAGATGGCCGTTCTTTTTCGAAACTAGATATTTAAAGTAAGACAGCCACATTGAAGAGGAGCTCAGTTAGAGAGTATCTTGACTTTATCCTTTGGCCTTCACTGGCAACGGAGAAGAGCAGAAGGACTTTTATGTGTGCCTTGCTTTGTCAGGAATGAGAGCAGCCTATTTGCTGTTGGGTCCCCAGGCATAATATTATGTGGGTATGAGTGTGATGCATGACCATCTGAGAACAGGTGTTAGCTTTCTAAAGCTGGTGTCTCTCCCTGACATCCAAGATCCTCCCAGTCTCTGGGCTTGCCAGGGCCATTATTTGTCATTTGTTTAGTTTTCATCTTTCTGAAATAATATGGCAGAGCACAAGACCACAGCTGTGCCTCTTCTCAAATCCTTTCATATTTAGACTTGGTTTTCATCTGATGAGGAGAAATTCACCATAAAACATCATGTCTTCTGGTGATGGCTAACAGAGCCAAATAGGATGGCAATGTCACCTGGCTTTTAAAGAGGCTTAAATACTGAAAGGCCAGTTTGCAAGCCTCACATATTTTGTCGCTGACACCAAGCTGGGAAAGAAGCTAAAATATTTTGATCACTGGGTATGGGCATTTGTGGCAGATGGTCTCTTCAGCAGTATTCCAGTGGGGGGGGGTCAGTGGGGGACAGAGGAGGGTATCCAAATAGAATATATAAAGTCAAAGGGAGAGAAACTTGGCCTCATTTTACAAGGTTTTGTGCCAAATCTTGGAACACCCATGCGTCTCCAGTCAAGCAGGGAGAGGTTCCCATTCTGAGCAGAGTGACAGGGATGACAGTTCATTTAAACAGTCTGCTGGGTGCATTTGCTGATTTGGAAGCCCAGGACCCAGGGATCCTGAACAGGATGGGAAAATGTGTGTGCCCATATCACTGGTCATGAAGTGGTGGGCTTCCAGATGGGCCTGCACAAACTCTTGGAAGGAAGAATGTTGACAGAGGCACATGCCTATGTAAAAGGCTTTGAGAAATGCAGCCAAAAAAAGAGCTGAATCATCTGACTTCACCTTAGGTGACTTTGCATAGGACTAAAATCCCCAGCACAGCTCCATGTCTCAAGACCTGGATGCAGCCGGCCAGCTGGCTGGTTGGCAGTGGTCCAGAGACTGAGTTGCCTGGATGATTTGGCCCCACCCTACTCCTACCAAACAACCATTATGATAATGCAGATGCACTCAGAAAAAGCATGGGTCACCACAAGCTACAAAGTAGAGCTGGGGCTCTTTGAGGTCACAGGACTCTGCCAATTCCAACTTACCTGGGTTTTCTGTCTTGATGTTATTTATGTATTTGCCAAGAAACAGCGGCTTTACTGTAAAAACTCTTGGGCAGAAGCAGCCAAATTATTTTTCCCAAGAGTCCAATAGGTACAGAAGTTGACGTTGTGGGAAGGCCAGAAAATGGAATCAGTGCCATTGTAATGGCCCACCGTGGCCTACTGGGCCTCCTTGGTTGAACACGTCTTTCCCATACAGCTTCTTTGACTGGTAAACTTGGATTATCCTCTGTTGGTTCAGATAGCAGAGGCCATGATGAAGCCTCTTATGGGTCGGGGTTGTGAGACATGACACATTTAGTACCTATATGATGGCCAACTCAGGATATGATTAGCTCAGGTGATATAGGCTGGTGCAAAAGTAATTGCAGTTTTTGCATTGTGGAAATTTGCTGTTTGATATTGGATTACATTCTTAAATAAATGTGGTTATATTATACATCATTTTAATGCACATTTATCACTTTATGTATTTGTTTTGCAAATGACTTATTACTTGATGTTTATTTTATATTTATTTTTGACTATGGAAATGATGTTAGACAAAAAGCAAATTTGAGTGATTTTCTTATTCGAGTTCAAAAATGGGTTGTAAAGCAGTGGAGACAACTCACAACATCAGCAACATATTTGGCCCAGGAACTGCTAATGAACGTACAGTGCAGTGATCGTTCAAGAAGTTTTACAAAGGAGACGAGAGACTTGAAGATGAGGAGCGTAGTAGCCAGCCACAAGAAGTTGACAACGACCAATTGAGAGCAATCATTGAAGTTGATCCTCTTACAACTACATGAGAAGTTGCCCCAAAACTTAATATCAACCATTCTATGGTCATTCAGCATTTGAAGCAAATTGGAAAGAAAAAAGCTTGATAAGTGGGTGCCTCGTGAACTAAGTGAAAAAAAAATCATTGTTTTGAAGTGTTGTATTCTCTTATTCTATGCAACAACATGAACTATTTCTTGATCAAATTGTGACATGCAATGAAAAGTGGATTTTATATGATAACTGGCGATGGCCAGCTCAGTGGTTGCACCGAGAAGAAGTTCCATAGCACTTCTCAAAGCCAAACCTGCACCAAAAAAAAAGGTCATGGTCACTGTTCGGTGGTCTGCTGCTGATCTGGTCCACTACAGCTTTTTGAATCCTAGCAAAATCATTACATCTGAGAAGTATGCTCAGCAAATCAATGAGATGCACCAAAAACTCTACTGCCTAAAACCAGCATTGGTTAACAGAAAGGACCCAATTCTTCTCCATGACAACGTCTGACTGCATGCTGCACAGCCAACACAAAAAGTTGAAGGAATTGGGCTACAAAGTTTTGCCTCATCTACCATATTCACCAGACCTCTGGCCAACTGGCTATCACTTCTTCAAGCATCTCAAAAATATTTTGCAGGGAAAACACTTCCACAATGAGCAGGATGCAGAAAATGCTTTCTAAGAGTTTGTCAAATCCCAAGGCATGGATTTTTATGCTACAGGAATAAACAAACTTACTTCTCATTGGCAAAAATGTGTTGATTGTAATGGTTCCTATTTTGATTGATAAAGATGTGTTTGAGCCTAGTTATAATGATTTAAAATTCATCGTCCAAAACTGCAATTAGACCAGAACAGGTGCTGGTATCCAAAGCTGAGAGACCCATAGACAGTTCACATCATAGGACTCTGTGCAGACAACCCCCAGCACCAGCCCAGAGCTGGGTAGACTCACTGGGTGGCTAGACCCAGAAGAGAGACAACAATCACTACAGTTCAGCTCACAGAAAGCCACATCTGTAGGAAAAGGGGGAGAGTACTACATCAAGGTAACACCCTGTGGGACAAAAGAATTTGAACAATAGCCTTCAGCCTTAGACCTTCCTTCTGACAAAGCCTACCCAAATGAGAAGAAACTAGAAAACCAACTGGTAGTATGACAAAATGAAACTCTTCAACACTCCCAAAAAATCACGCTAGTTCACCAGTAATGGATCCAAACCAAGAAGAAATTCCTGATTTATCTGAAAAAGAATTTAGAAGGTTAGTTATTAAGCCAATCAGGGAGGGACCAGAGAAAGGCAAAGGCCAATGCAAGGAAATCCAAAAAATGATACAAAAAGTGAAGGGAGAAATATTCAAGGAAATATATAACTTAAAGAAAAAAACAATCAAAAATTCAGGGAACTTTGGATACACTTTTAGAAATGCAAAATGCTCTGGAAAGTCTCAGCGATAGAATTGAACAAGTAGTAGAAAGAAATTCAGAGCTCGAAGACAAGGTCTTTGAATGAACCCAATCGAACAAAGACAAAGAAAAACGAATAAGAAAAAATGAACAAAGCCTCCAAGAAGCCTGGGGTTATGTTAAATGACCAAACCTAAAAATAATTGGTGTTCCTGAGGAAGAAGAGAATTCTAAAAGCTTGGAAAACACATTTGGGTGAATAACCGAGGAAAACTTTCCCAGCCTTGCTGGAGACCTAGACATCCAAATACAAGAAGTGAAAAGAATACCCAGGAAATTCATCACAAAAAGATCATCACCTAGGCACATTGTCATCAGGTTATCCAAACTTAAGATGAAGGAAAGAATCTTTAGAACTGTGAGACAGAAGCACCAGGTAAGCTATAAAGGAAAACCTATCAGATTAACAGCAGATTTCTCAGCAGAAACCCTATAAGCCAGAAGGGATTGGGGACCCATCTTCAGCCTCCTCAAACAAAACAATTATCAGCCAAACATTTTGTATCCAGCAAAACTAAGCATCATATATGAAGAAAAGGCATGGTCTTTCTCAGACAAACAAATGCTGAGAGAATATACCATTAGCAAGCCACAACTGCAAGAACTGCTGAAAGAGCTCTAAATCTTGAAAGCAATTCCTGGAAACACAACAAAACAGAAATCACACAGAACCTATAAAACAAAAATAGAAGTTAAAAAAGCAAAAACAACCAAAAAAAAAAAAAACCCCAAAGTACACCAGCAACAAAGAGCACGATGAGTGAAATAGTGCCTCACATTTCAATACTAACACTGAATGTAAATGGTCTAAATGCTCCACTTAAAACTTACAGAACAGCAGAATGGATAAGAACTCACCAGCCAACCATTTGCTGCCTTCAGGAGACTCACCTAACAAACAAGGACTCCCATAAACTTAAAGTAAAGGGGTGGAAAAAGGCATTTCATGCAAATGGACACCAAAAGCAAACAGGGGTAGATATATCAGACAAAACAAACTTTAAAGCAACAGCAGTTAAAAGAGACAAAGAGGGACATTATATAATGGTAAAAGGCCTTGTCCAACAGGAAAATATCACAATCCTAAACATATACGCACCTAACACTGGAGCTCCCAAATTTATAAAGCAATTACTAATAGACCTAAGAAATGAGATGACAGCAACACAGTAATAGTGGGGGACTTCAGTACTCCACTGACAGCACTTAGACAAGTCATCAAGACAGAAAATCAACAAAGAAACAATGGATTTAAACTATACATTGAAACAAATGGACTTAACAGATATATACAGAATATTTCATCCAATAACCACAGAATACACATTCTATTCAACAGTGCATGGAACTTTCTCTAAGGTAGAGCACATGAAAGGCCATAAAACAAGTCTCAATAAATTTAAGAAAACTGAAATTATATCAAGCCTTCTCTCAGACCACAGTGGAATAAAACTGGAAATCAGCTTCAAGAGGAAAGTTCAAAACCATGCAAATACATGGAAATTAAATAACCTACTCCTGAATGATCACTGGGTCATAAATGAAATCAAAATGGAAATTAAAATTTTTTTGAACTGAATGACCATAATGATACAACTTATCAAAACCTCTGGGATACAGCAAAGGTGGTGCCAAGAGGAAAATTCATAGCCCTAAATGCCTACATCAGAAAGACTGAAAGAGCACAAACTGACACTCTAAAGTCATACCTCAAGGAACTAGAGAAACAAGAAGAAACCAAACTCAAACCCAGCAAAAGAAAGGAAATAACCAAGATCAGAGCAGAACTAAATGAAATTAAAACAAAACAAAAAAACCCACAAAAGATAAATGAAACAAAAAGCTGGTTCTTTGAAAAGAAAAATAAAATTGACAGACCATTAACAAGATTAACCAAGAAAAAAAAGGAGAGAAAATCCAAATAACCTCACTAACAAACAAAACAGGAGATATTACAAGTGATACCACTGAAATACAAAAGATCTTCAAGGTTACTATGAACATATTTACACACATAAACTAGAAAACAGAAGAGATGGACAAATTCCTGGAAAAATACATTTCTTCTAGTTTAAATCAGGAAGCATTAGATACCCTTAACAGACCAATAACAAACAGCGAGGTTGATAAATTACCAACAAAAAAAAGTCCAGGACCAGATGGATTCACAGCAGAATTCTACCAGACATTCAAAGAACCAATCCTTTTGACACTATTCCACAACATAGAGAAAGAAGGAACCTTCCCTAATTCATTCTACAAAGCCAGCATCACCCTAATACCAAAACCAGGAAAGGACATAACCAAAAAAGAAAACTACAGACTGATATCCTTGACGAACATAGATGGTAAAATCCTTAACAAAATACTAGCTAACCAAATCCAACAACATATCAAAAAGGTAATCCACCATGATCCAGTGGGTTTCATACCAAGGATGCAGGGATGGTTTCACAAATGCAAGTCAATAAATGAGATACACCACATAAACAGAATTAAAAACAAAAATCAGATGATCATCTCAATAGATGCAGAAAAAGCATTCGACAAAATCTAGCATCACTTTACAATTAAAACTCTCAGCAAAATTGGCATACAAGGGACATACTTTAATGTAATAAAAACCATCTATGACAAACCCACAGCCAATATAACGCTCAACAGGGAAAAGTTGAAGGAGCTCTAAATCTTGAAGCAAATCCTGGAAACACAGAAAAACAGATGCCCAAGACAAAGATGCCCACTCTCACCACTTCTCTTCAACATAGTACCGGAAGTCCTAGCTGGAGCAATCAGACCAGAGAAAGAAATAAAGGGCATTCACATCGATAAAGAGGAAGTCAAACTGTCCCTGTTTGCTGACAATACGATTGTTTACCTTGAAAACCCTAAGGACTCCTCCAGAAAGTTCCTAAAACTGATCAAAGAATTCAGCAAAGTTTCTGGATACAAGATTAATGTACGCAAATCAGTAGCTCTTCTATACACCAATAATGACCAATGGGAGAATCAAATCAAGAGCTCAACCACTTTTACAATAGCTGAAAATAAAATAAAATAAAATAAAACAAAGTAAAATAAAATAAAATACTTCAGGAATATACCTAACCAAAGAGTCAAAAGACCTCTACAAGGAAAACTACAAAACACTGCTGAAAGAAATCATAGATGACACAAACAAATGGAAACATATCCCATGCTCATGGATGGGTAGACTCAATATTGTGAAAATGACACAATACTGCTAAAAGCAATCTACAAATTCAATGCTGTTCTCAACAAAATGCCACTATCATTCTTCACAGAATTAGAAAAAACAATTCTAAAATTCACGTGGAACCAAAAAAGAGCCTGCGTAGCCAAAGCAAGACTAAGCAAAAAGAACAAGTCTGGAGGTATCACATTACCTGATTTCAAACTATACTATAAGGCCATAGTCACCAAAACAGCATGTAACTGGTATAAAAATAGACACATAGACCAATGGAACAGAATAAAGAACCCAGAAATAAACCCAAATACTTACAGCCAGCTGATCTTCAACAAAGCAGACAAAAACATAAAGCGGGGAAAGACACCCTTTTCAACAAATGGTGCTGGGATAATTGGCTAGTCACATGTAGGAGAATGAAACTGGATTGTCATCTCTCACCTTACACAAAAATCAACTCAAGATGGACTAAGGACTGAAACGTAAGACCTGAAACTATAAAAATTATAGAAGATAACACTGGAAAAACCCTTCTAGACATTGGCTTATGGAAGGATTTCATGACCAAGAACCCAAAAGCAAATGCAACATAAACAAAGATAAATAGCTGGGACCTAATTAAACTAAAGAGCTTTTGCACAACAACAGAAACAGTCAGCAGAGTAAGCAGACAACCCACACAGTGGAAGAAAATCTTCACCATCTATACATCTGACAAAGGGCTAATATTCAGAATCCACAATGAACTCAAACAAATCAGTAAGAAAAAAAAAATCCCATCAAAAAGTGGGCTAAGGACATGAATAGACAATTCTCAAAAGAAGATATACAAATGGTCAACAAACATATGAAAAAGTGATCAATAAACATGAAAAAAATGCTCAACCTCACTAATGATCAGGGAAACACAAATCAAAATCACAATGCAGTACCACCTACTCCTGCAAGAATGGCCATAATCAAAAAATCAAAAAACAGTAGATGTTGGCATGGATGTGGTGAACAGGGAACACTTCTACACTGCTGGTGGGAATGCAAACTAGTACAACCACTATGGAAAACAGTATGGAGATTACTTGAAGAACTAAAAATAGAACTACCATTTGATCCAGCAATCCCACGACTGGGTATCTACCCAGAGGAAAAGAAGTCATTATTTGAAAAGGATACTTGCACTCGCATGTTGATAGCAGCACAATTCACAATTGCAAAATTGTGGAACCAACCCAAAGGCCCATCAATCAATGAGTGGATAAAGAAACTGTGCTATATGTGTGTGTGTGTGTGTGTGTGTGTATGTATGTGTATATATATATATATATAAGTATATATATATACACATACATATACAACATATATATTATGATGGAATACTATGCAGCCATAAAAGGAATGAATTAACAGCATCTGCAGTGACCTGGATAAGACTGGAAACTATTATTCTAAGGAATGGAAAACCAAACATCATATGTTCTCACTGTTATGTGGGATCTAAGCTATTAGGACACAAAGGCATAAGAATGACACAATAGACTCTGGGGATGTAGGGGGAAGAGTGGGAGGGTGGCGAGGGATAAAAGACTACGAATATGGTGCAGCATATACTGCTCGGGTGATGGGTGCACCAAAATCTCATGAATCACTAAAGAACTTATGTAACCAAATACCACCTGTACCCCAATAACTTATGGGAAAAAATACAAAAACTGAAATAAAGAAAGAAAAAAGAAAATTCCAACCGGGCACAGTAGCTCACACCTGTAATCCCAGCACTTTGGGAGGATCACTAAAAACAAACAAACCAAAAACAACAACAACAAAAAAAAACCCTGCAATTACTTTTGCACCAACCTTGAGCAATATCTGTGTGCAAAAACCTGTTCCATTCTTAGGGGAAGAGAAGGGAGGAAGCTGGCTCCCAAGAAGTATAGTGCATATAGTTATCAAAATTGTGATTTGCTTTTTTTCTTGACATAAAAAGATCAACTTAAGCTCCAAAGTGATTATTCAGAGCCAGTAGTTTAGAACACCTGACTTGCAGTACCATTTCCCTTAACTATACACAAAAAGTGACAGTAAGAGAAAACAAATCAGAAAATGAGGTGTTTTTCTTTGGCACACTCATATAAAGACATGATGGCATATAGTGTATTACAGTTTATAATGTGTTTCATGTGCATTTTTATATTTTATCTTTGCAACAAGTATGGGAGCCCAGTTTTACAGATGTGGAAACAGTTTAAAAAGTTCAAGTGATTTGCCCAAAGGTAGACAGCTCATGAATGCAGAGCAGGGACACAAAGACATGAATTTACAGTTTCTGAAACAAGGTCTGGCATTCTTACTCTTTTTTTATTTTTCACAGCTGCCTCACTTATGTAGAGAAAGTGTTAAGTGAGTATCACTGCGAAACCTGTAGATGTTTAACTAGGGAACATTTAAAATGGAAATAGCCTAGTAGAAATGAGGCTAATTTTCCCTCTTTGAGGAGGCAGGAGTTCACTTAGGAAAAGCTGTACTATTAGCCAGGATGAGTGTAATCTAGAAGGGAGAGGTCCTTTCTGTTCCTACCTCCCCTATGCTGAAGCAGAGGGGCAACTGGAGGAGATGGTATTTTTGCCAGCCTCTGGCATATATTGTTAATCACATTTTGTTCTTGTGGTTTTGCGTGTAGGTCCGGGGTAGGAAGTGAGACAGGGGCTTTGAGCTTCTCTGTCCTTACTAAGCTTTCTGATAAAAGCTGCTGGAAAATTGCAGAAGGGGATGTAACATGTTTAAGTTGTCTTCTATTTTTAAAAATCTTTTTGTGTAATTTCAGACATACAGAAAAGTCACACAAATAGTATGCAGAACTCCAATATATATGTTTAACCCAGATGTTTACTGTATTTTTTTCCTTTACCCTCTTCCTCTATACATGTACAGATGCACACACATGTCCCTAGGGATATTTTCTGAACTTTATGAGAGTAAGCTACTGACATAGTGGACTTTTTAATTTATAAATATTTGATATAGTTTGAATATTTGTTCCCTCCAAATCTCATGTTGAGATGTGAGCCCAGTGTTGGTGGTGGGGCCTGGTGGGAGGAGTTGTGGTAGTCTGGTAGGATCCCTCATGAATGGTTTTGTGCCTTCCCCCAGTAATAAGTGAGTTCTCACTCTATTAGTTTATGCCAGAGCTGGTTGTTTAAAAAAGCCCGGCTCCTCCTCCTCTCTCTCTTTTGCTCTGTCCAGCATGTGTAAAAGCTTCCTGAGGTCCTGACGGGAAGCAGGTGCTGGCACCATGCTTCTTGTACAGTCTGCAGAACCGTGAGCCAAAATAAACCTCTTTTCCTTAGATAGTACCCAGCCTCAGGTATTTATAGCCATCCAAAATTGGCTACTGCAATACTTGACTACATGTTTCCTAAAATCAGGATATTATCTTACATAACCATAGTGCAAATATTAAAAATCAGGACATTAACATAGTAGACTGTTTCTCCATTTGGGCTTGTCTGATGTTTTCTCATGTTGATATTCTGATAATGAATTTGGGGCAGAAAAAGTGCAGAGGTGATACTGTGTCCTTTTTAGGGGACTCTATCAGGAGACATAATGATGTTGCTTTGTCCTATTACTAGTGCTGGTAGCTTTGATTTCCTCATGTCTGCCAGGTTTCTCCATGGTTAAGTTTCTATTTTTTTCTTTCTATTTAATTAGTATCTGTTGGGGGAGCTAATTTGAAATTATGTAAACATCTCACTGTTCCTCAAGCTTTTACTTTGATTTTAACATGTTAAGCAATACTTCCCTGAATTAATTATTTATATGGTGGTTTCTTAATGGTGATTTTCTCAGTACTTTATTTCTTCTACATTTATTGGTTGGTTTGCTACTATAAAAATAGGTTTTTTCATTTTTAAAAGATATTTTTATCACCATGAACTCAGATTCCTATTTTACTCAGTGGGTTATAGTTTTTTATTGTCATTATTTATTTTGGTGGTTAAATAAAATGAAACCAGGATGATAATTCTGAGGTCTGTTCAGTGTCAGTTTCTTTAAGCTAGCTTTGACATGTCCCCATCATTCTTTGAGCATTTCCTTACTTTCTGTGACAAGTTGATCCAGGCTCATTTTGTATTTTCCCAGCTCCAGCCTTAGAATCAGCCATTTCCCAAAGAAAGATCCCTGGCTTCTTTTAATACATAGGATTTAGAAACCAAGAGCTAAGCATTACGTGTGCTTATTGCTATGAGGGTATTATTAATTGTAGGTTCTCTCAGTGGAAAGAGATAAGACATAGATATTTGTGAGTTTATATATGTAGTATGTATATACACACTGTGAATTCCTACTGATTTCTCCATTTCCCATTAAATACCATCGTTTTCCCTTTTCAGTATTTATAATGGCCTTCTTCAATAGTGAGAAATAAGACTCCCAATGTCCACAATCCATTTGCTTATTTTCATAATTCTAGAATACACAGTAATGCCAGAATTGCTTACCCATACCTCTGTGGAGAAGAAGCCTATGCCCAGAGCTCAGCATTTGTTCATTCCTATTTTTCTTTAGCCTGAAGACATACAGTCCAAATAATATATTCGGAAGTAATTTGCATTAGTTTTTTTTCTCTTCAGTACACTTATGTTATTCATTTAAAATATATTTCAGTTTATTCTTTTCTGTATATATTCCATGTGGGTTTCTATCTTAATCTCAAAGCCAGAAGTGTTCAAAGAGGTAAACTCAGAGGCATGTCACTGTGCCACTTATTGCTTTCATCTTTTCCATCCGCCTATCTTTTCCACTCAGTGCCCTTCTGCCCCCTCACCCCAGTAAGTTCCAGTTATTAGTTCCTTATTTCTTTCTTATGTTTCTTTTTTGAATGAAGGAGAAGATATAAGGATATTTTCTTATGTACTATTGAGCCACTTCCTTTTTAAAAAATTTAGCTTAATATTTAAATAATGACAAATATAATTGTATGTATTCATGGGGTGCATAGTGATGTTTCAATACATGTAATACATAGAGCTCAGATTAGGATAATTAGCATGTCCATCATCTCAAACATTTATCATTTCTTTGTGTTGGGAACATTCAATAATACCCTCCCTCTGGCTATTTGAAAAAATGTGTTATTGTTAACTGTAATCATCCCACAGTGTGAACCTCTCTGCTTTATCATTTGTTTCTAATATTTTGCAGTGAAAAGTAATGCTGACCCTCTGCAAATATATTTTCATACTATTGGAGGTGTAGCTTTAAGGTAATTTCTACAAGTAGGACTCTAAGTTCAAAAGACCAACATATATGTTGTTTTTCTAGATGTTACCAAATTCGCCTTCATAAGGGCTGAATCAGTTTGCATCACTTCAGCAATACATTAGAGTTCCGGCTTTCCCACAGCTTTGCCAACAGAGTATGTTATCACACTCTAAAAACTCTACTTATGACATGTTGGTATAGTTTTAACCTGCATTTATTTTATTATAAGTATGGCTGAACATCTTTTCATTTACTTGAGCTGTTTGTGCTATTTGTGACATCATATATCGTTTCCGTGAATTGTCTGTTCATATCCTTTATTCATTGTTATATTGGGTTTTGTTTTTTTAATTTCTCCGTATTCTTTAAGAGTTCTTTAAATATTAGGTATATTATTATCCCTTTATCTGTGAGACATGTTGCAAATATTCTCTTTAAGTTGGTTCATTGTCTGCTGTCTGCTTAACTTAAGCAAAGAAATAGTAATCTTAGCAAGTAAAGAATAAACATTCCCTTTCTATCTTGTTTAAACTATTTGTATGCTTACTAATCATTTTTACCCCATATACTATAAAGGTAAACTTCAACAGAGATTTGAATTGATAACATTTTATAGAGAGGCATACAGCACTCCCTGTTCATTTGTCCTGGTTTGAATTCTAAAAGTGAAGAAAAATGTCAATAATAAAAGCACAAATAAATAAATGTCTCAAATTAAAAGCTTGCTTCTTTTTTTCCCCCATTCTCCTATTTTTTTTTTCTTTGAGATGGAGTTTCACTCTTGTTGCCCAGGCTGGATGGAGTTCCAAGACCCCGTCTCTGCTCACTGCAACCTCCACCTCTCGGTTTAAGCGATTCTCCTGCTTCAGCCTCCGGAGTAGCTGGGATTACAGGCACCTGCCACCACGCCCGGCTAATTTTTGTATTTTTAGTAGAGACAAGGTTTCACCATGTCCGTCAGGCTGGTTTCGAACTCCTGACCTCTCCCCTGTTTTATTGCTTTCTACCCTTAGTACCAATTCTCCTTAGACCAAGAACACTCTGTATGAATGTTTATTTTTAACTAACACATACAGCTTTGTTGCTCTTTGAAAATTTATTCAACACTCTCTTCTTTTTTGAAATGTTACATGTTTGTCTTCTTTCTCATTAGTTTCTTGCCAATGTCCAATATTTTGTTTGGTGTCTAGTATCCCTGGAGGTATAAGCAACGCCTTTCCCTGTGCGTTTGCTCTGTCAGTCCCTTTGGTACCATGTTTAAAACGCTCTTCTTTTTAGGATGATCATTTCTCAGTCGGTTAGTGAAATGACACTAGGGGCATGAAAGCATGTGGCATTAAGCGATGTGTGTAAGCATTGGGAGATCTCCTAGAAACAAACTCTGGAAGTCTGAGAGTCATTAATAAGCCTCCGTAATTGGCAGGGGTTGGAGGTGGGAGAGTGCTGGACAGAAAGTGCAGTGTGGGGCAAGTAGGCTGCACTCCTTTGGAAGTGGAGCACTTTCTGTTTCTTTTCTTTTCTTTTAATGCTTAAATGAAGGTAGCTTTGAGAGGAATTAGGAGCAGTTTCCTGAGTGCTTTGCATGTCCACCTTTTCATTATCAGCCCATTACATACACATCTGCACACACAACACAGTAAACCCAGGAGCAGGGATCCTCAGAAGCACATTCTGAAATTACTGGAGAAGGAAAAGAGAAGCTAAAGCCTGGAGAGCAGTAGAACCATGGAATGCAAACACATCCATTCTGCTGTTAACTGTTTTACTAGGGAATGTTGGTTACAGATAGTGACATAAGAGAGCAAGGTTGTAGAAATACCACTGTAGAAAGCAGTAGAAAGAGTAATAAGAGTAAAATAGTTAAAAACAAAGTGTAAATTTCCAGTGTCCACATGGGTTTGGAAATGCTTACAAGTGGTGTCATGCAGAGCAAATGTTATGGGTTGTCTCTGTTCACTCCAATCCTCCTGCATATTTACTTTTGGAGATGATATAAACAGATATCAATAAAACATAGGTTGATTAAAAGGCTGTTATCTAAAGAGTATTATAACTATTGCTGTAGAGCCACGTTTTACTCTTTCTTTTCTTTTTTATTGGCAATTCAAAATTCAGTATCTATGATTTGCAAGGAAACATAAAAAAGTAAGTGATGGAGACCCTGTGACAATACAGGTTCCCTTAACTAACATTCCTGAGTTCTTCATACTAGATGTGTTTTCCTTTACATGGGATAGGGAATGATAATAGCTCAATGATTCCGAAGGATTCAACTTTTGAATACAAGCCATAGACACAGAACCAAATTGAGGTAATAAAAAGAAAAAAAAACCAAAAACATTTTGTATATAAGTAAAAACCTTATTTGTACACTTACTTTATAATAATCTCTTCTCCTTTTCATTCTTGACCCCAAAATTTTTATACTAAACTTTATCTGTTTTAGTGCAGGGTCACATGAATTTTCAAGGCTTTTAATATTTTCACACAGTACGAATTCAGTTCACTCCAAGTTAGCCCCTCATATGCCGAAGACCGGCCTCGGTGTGGTGGAGCATGCAAAGAAAAGCTCAACATGGTCTCAACTCTGACAATGTAATCTTTTAGTATAGGGATAGCAATCTAGAAATTTGGGAAATGGGCAAACCTAGCAAAGCAGAAAAAACTCTGGGGAGGTCATCATGACTCCCTCAGGTTCAGAATTGAAGTCCCAGTAGAGCAATGCTCTCAGCTCCTTCCAAGGCCTACTTAGCCTGGAACACTCCCCATGCTCACAGCAGTCATAGATGATACACAGCTGTCTTATTGCCTGCAAAGAGGAGCAGAAGAGAGGAGAGGAAGTTTTACTGATAAAACAGAAAGCAGGGTCAAATCACCTAGGTTTGCCGTTTCCAGAACTAGAATATTGAAAGCAAATCAGATACAGCTTTGCAAATATAAAGCATCTTTACACATAAAGATGTTGAGAAGCAGTCATGATATGGCCTATGTAATGAATTTATTTTAGAACAAAGGGCAAAATCAGCAGATTATTTTTCACACAATGGGATGCACAGATGTCATCTACCCATGCACTGACTGATCTTCTGTTTCTTGTTGGTCTCTTCCTGCAGCACACAAACTCTTTGTGAACAAAATTATGAACAGTTATTGCCCAAATAAGAGTTCTTCAACAGATAGGACAGGGGTAAAATTATAGCAGGAGATTTGGGGATAGATAGCATCATCTTTTTTCCTCTAATTACAGGATGAGTAGATACATGAAAGAAAATTTACTAAGTGTAGATAAGAAAAATTACAAAATAAAAATTATTCACAGAATTAAACACTCTGATCATCTGTTATATTTTACTAAGTCTATCCTCCTAAATATGTGTAGATAATATAAATGTGCATATCAACAAAACCATTGGACCATTTATTTAATAACATGTCTGTCTTCTGTGCATCTCTTCATTATTTCTCTCTTCATAATATCTACTGGTATATTATTCTATTATATTGATGTATCATACTTTAATATTTTATTGTTGAAAATTATATTTTTGTTGTTTCTCAATATTACTTTTATAATAATATCTACCATTCATTGGATGTTTATAATCGCTCCTGGGCTTCATTAAGCAACGTTTATTGGACAGTTTCAACCCATTGGTTCTTATCATGGGATGAATTTTTTTCTGCAGTCGTACCTCCCAGTCTTGCTATTTTGGATCTTGGTTGTTTGTTACACAGCAATTTCATGATGACATACAAAGAAAATTCCACAGAGTTCCCATTATTTTCAATTATTAGTCATTTTCCTAGTTTAAAACTCAAACTCGAGTACAGGACCATTCTTCTCAGAGTCCTTAGAGATTTCTTCATCACAGAGTTCCCTGATGTGGAGAAGCACAAGATTGAACCTGACTGAGCAATTTCCTGCCTTCTTAGCTCCCACCTCCCACCTCCTAGGTGCTCATAGGACAGCACTCTGCAGGAGGGCCCTAGCAAAATGGCAGCTCAACCCTGGCTATCTCTAGCAGTGTTTCTTGCCATACAGAAACTCAGGAATTTCAGCCCCACAAAATGAGGAGGATGCAGCTTGCCTCTGCATTATGCTCCCACTATGTTTACTCTATTACCTCTCACCAATTTGCTATTTTTTGTTTCACGTAGCCACAAAATGATCAAAAAGCTACTTAAAATGCCAACTTCTCCTTCTTGCAGAGATCCTTAATCTTTTCAAGTGATTCATCTGATGCTCTACCTACCTAGCTCCTCTGCACACTTAGTTAAACCATGCCCCTTGGGAGAGAAAACCCATAGTCATGTCTCTCCCCAACCTAAAGGAGCTGACAACTCATTAATCTGAAGATTTCCTTCTCTTTTCCTCACCTGTCTTTTGCTTGTATAAACTAAAGTTTATACAGATGGTCTAAGCGAGTGTTAATCAAAACTTAATGTGCACCTGAGTCACCCAGGAACTTTTTAGAATGAAGATTCTAACTCCATAATTGTGAGGTGGGGCCTGAGATTCCTATCAGGTTCCCAGGTGATGCTGATGCTGCTGGCTTATGGACCACACGTAGATTAGCAAGGGTCTAGTGATTATGGTTGATTGTGCTAAGACTATTCCACCACACCCTTTTTTTCTTTCTTTTTTTTTTTTTTTTTTTTTTTGAGATGGATTCTCACCCTGTCACCCAGGCTGGAGTGCAGTGGTGCAATCTTCACTTACTGCAACCTCCACCTCCCAGGTTCAAGAAATTCTCCTGCCTCAGCCTCCCGAGTAGCTGGGATTACAGGCATGCGCCACCATGCCCGACTAATTTTTTGTATTTTTAGTAGAGACAGGGTTTTACCATGCTGGCCAGGCTGGTCTTGAACTCCTGACCTCGTGATCCGCCAGCCTTGGCCTCCCAAAGTCCTGGGATTACAGGTGTAAGCCACCACGCCCAGCCTTTTCCCCCTTTTTAGAAGACCTTAGAGGGCTCTGTGGCCCCAACTGCTGGCTGCTGCCCTGTAAATATGGGGTTCTAAGTCATGGTCCCTGGACTTGAGCTCCATTGTTGATTTCAGGTGAACACAAAAAGTTTCCTTCAGTATTTGTTGTCACATGTATTATCTTACTTCATTTTCACATAACATTAGTATTATCTCTGTTTTACCAATGAAGAAATTGAGGCTTCAAGAAGTTAAATTGCTCATCCAAGATTACATAGCTATACATACACAAACCAAGAAAAAAATCCCATTCTGTTCAGTCTCTCTTCAACCCTTTCCCCCGATGATTCTTGCTACTGTAATAGTATCTTGCACCCTAGGGCAGTTTTCACAAAAATTGCAATGAAATTGTTTGCTGTAATAACAATAAGAACTGAAGTTTATTAAGCATTACTATTAATAAATGCCATGCCCAGTATTGAGAACTTTTTCCTGCATTATTTTGTTAATTTTCACATCTGCTCAAAGAGGTGGTTTAACTTTGGAGAAGTTAAGAAGTTAGTATTGACTGCTTCACTCCAAAGCCCAAGATGTGAAATGTAACACTATGTTGTGGTATATATGGCTATAGCAGTATCTTTTTGGTTTTAATCCCAGAAAAAGAGGTAATTCCAGTGAGCTACAGAAAGAAGTAAAGATAGATAGATGGATGTTTGTAAGATGATTTTGTAAGTTGTAATAAAAAAGCTTGCCACTAAATTATTTGGAGTTTTCTATAAACTTCCAATGCACACTTACTGAGATGTGATGATACCTTATTAGATATGAACTGAATTGTTACATGGACTTAAGTGTTTGTCATTTCATGAGCTGATGTTCCTGGAAGTTTACAAGTCTGGGTCTCCTGCTAATTTGTAGTATGAGTTGGAGTTTTTCACCTATAAAATTCTGGAGTTTCATTTGTAAATTCTAGAAAATTACTATAGAATTGAAGATCTGGATGTTCCAATGGCCTAGGAATATGAGGTGCAGAGGATCTAAGTGACTGTTCCAGGGTGACCATGAGCTAGTTATAGGCTTAAACTCAAATCCAGGTCTCCTGCAATGCACTCCAGGCCTTATTCAATCAGGCTGTGTCTCATTTCCTTTTGCACAAACCTTTGGGGAAATGTGCTCGTTCTGAATCTGGTCTCTATAACCCGTTAATGTCCCTCAAGGGAATAGGGATGTTAGGTCTCTATACTGCAGCGTGCACGAGCAACACTAGCTTCTGCTCTCTAAGCCCAGCTCTTTGCCAACATGTGATTTCTCTGAAGACATCAGCAGACCTAGCACAGGGCATAGTCGGTCCTGGAAATATGAGCCCCTTCTGCTGTGTATCTATATGCCTGTGACCCGGCATCCTTTTGCCTTTAATGAGATTTTGCAGTGACAGGATTGGAACAGATTGCTGGCATTATGGCAGCCAGGATATTGTCAGGAGGAACTTGGCAGTGCTCGTAGGTGTTATGATGCTGGCTCTTTGCTCAAGGGCAAGAATATTAAAGGGAAAATTAGAGATAAAACAGAGAGTGAGAGGTAATGTCAGAAAAGTTCAGAAGATGAAACCAGTAGCGGTAAATATATAGAAAATGATTTGAGGTTTACACACTTTTGAGTCCTTGGTGAGTGAAGACATAGCCAAGAATTGCTTCAGTGATATTCCTTCATAAATCTGCATAATAATCTCTCGGCGGGGCTTTGGTGAAATTACAAGTATTCATTTACTAAATTGGGTTCAGTGTCTGTATCACGCACACCATATGAATATTCAGTGCAGTGAATGCTTCCCAAGCTATGTTGAAGTTAACACATAAGCTGAATATAACTCAAGTGGAACTCAAAATTGCACGCTTACTTTAACTTAACAGAGGTCCTAGTGTCTTGAAGAATTGGACCCACCCCCACCCCAGTATGTCAATTAATACTCATTCTAATAAAACCAAATGTAAAGTGCTTTCAGTATTTGTATCTGATTTTTGGCATTAAGTAGTTTTCTTTATAACAGAGGATTAGGATAATAATACACAAGGCTATGAATGGTTCCTTAGAACACAGTGGCAGCTGCCAAGCAGATTCAAGAAGAATGTTTAATTACAATACTCAGTAATAACAACAAAGAAAAAGTTCAATGAGAAGAAACAACTCTATTATGAGACAAAGGTCTGTGCTGAGTGAAAGAGGAACAGTGGAACACAGACATTGTTGTAGCTGGAGTTGCCTTGGCAGCTGATGGGCATTTCACCTTAAAACTTGAGCATTTTTCTTCTCAAAGCAACTCAGTTGGCTTTCTAGGGTAAACATACAGAATCACTTCTATTTCCAAAAAAATGCATTTTTCCACAAACTAAAATTAGTAATTCTCAGAGAAGAGTGATCACTGCCAGTTCTGTATAGCAAAAGAGCACTTAACTAGGAGTCAGGCAGCTTGAGTTCTCATGCAGAACTCTATAACAAACCAACTATTTAAACCTCAAACAGCTGGTTAGTCTCTCTGAGCCTCTCTTGATTATGAACTTTTCCATGATATTTTGATTATACATACATATTTTGATACAAAAATATTCCTTTGGAAAAATTCTTAGTCATAATATTTTATATTGTCCTAAAGTATAATGTGAGTTCAGATCCACAGTAAATAGTCAAATGCAGTATGTGAAGTTTTATTGAAAGACAGTATTCACTTATACTTATTATACGGGAGGTATTATGCTAAATGTGCTTCACATGCAAAATGTCAGCCACTAAGGTAGCTTTATTATTATCTTCACTTTGTAGGTGGAGAAATTGAAGCCCCCAAAATTTAAGTCACTTGCCCAATGTCTTGCCCAGTTAGTCAGTAGCAAAACTGAGATTCAAACTCCAGTTTCTTTAACTCCAATATGCTTTTAACTATTTGCACCTCCTTCCTGTAGAACAGCTGGATGCATGCTGAGCTTTTCTTATCCATCACTAGTGTGTGCTGCAGAAATTGATTTGGGTTCTTAATTGAGTGTATTAATCATCTAAAGAGGTCTAGACTGAGGTATGGGAAGACACTTGCTTAAAGGACAAAGCTTTGAATTTCAGAGGCGCTGAAAGAGGGAGTCATGGAGGCTCAAATCACTATGCTTAGCCATGGGAAGCAATTGGAGAGGCTGGTTTCCTCCTATTTTTAAGGATATTACTTTCAGATATCTGTTGCCGTGAGGCAAATATGATAAAGAAGCCTACAAATTAGCAAATAGCACCTGGGAGGACAGTCATGACAGTGGGTTGCACATACAAAACAGGAAGGAGTAACCTCACTTGTATGGGTCTTACCAATGGGAGGAGGTTTTGAAAAGCTAATGCAAGGATTTGGGGAATGGTAAATCTGAAAAAAGAAAAAGGTTTATTTTAGCAGAGATAGTAAGTCTGGATTAGAACACATAGAGGTTGCAGCTAGAGAATTGGGTGTGGAATTTTTCTTAATGATGTAAGACAAGCCAAGTCTGGGGAAAAGAATTTAGTGGTGGTTATCAAAAGATATGAATAAAATATCTGGAAGGAGATTCATCAGTCTCAGGTGATGAGGTGTCAAGATGCAGTCTCATCATAGGGAATGCTTCTCCATGGGAATATTTGTTCTTGGAGAGGTGCCAGAAGGGAAACTAGGTGCCGAAGTCAGCTTAAGCTTATAGCAATGTACATGAAAAATAAAAAGATTTCCTAAACATGAAATTAGAGAAAATCCATTTTTCTGTAAAAACATTCAAAGTTAGACCATTATATCCCATCAAACATGATAATCTGATAGAATGGAAATGGCTAAGAATGACTTGCTAAAGAAAACTGTAGAAGAAGAATAGAAAGGCCTTTGGGTATTCTTGTAACTAGGGAGAGGACTGAAGAATATTTTGAAAAGGTAGAAGGTGAGATTTATTATGTCAAAGTTTAAAGACCTACAGAATGTAATTAATTGGGTTAGAAAGCAAGCTTTGGCAATTGGCCTGAAGGGGATAGGGAAGATCAAAGAGGTCTTCCTCAAAGAGGTCAAATTGAGTTGACCTAAATTTGTCCTCAGATATTTGCTACTAACATGCCCTAGAAGGATCATTGCCATTGTTGAGTTACCATAAAGATTAAAGTAAAACATCTTTATCCTTACATTCATAGATTCAAGCCTGGTAGTAGAGAGAGTGTCTTCTTACATTCACAGTGTAAATAAAGAAGCAGTCATGTGCCTATGAAGCTGCCCATCTCACATATTTAGAGTCAAAAAAATTATTTTAAATAAAAAATGATCTAATTCCAATACATTTTTATTTTCATTAAAATTGAGAATGCTACCATGGTGAGTGAGTAAATCAGGAAGGAAAGCATAACCAGGTCATTGGAAAATGTTTTAACTGTGGTTTTCCACTAATGGAGATGGTGTTTATAAAGTCATATGACCAAAAAGAGGATCCTCCTTCCACACTCCATAAGTGTTCTCGTTAGTGTGACTCTAGGCAGGGATCATTGGAAATGTACGTATCCAGGGTTAGATGGGCCTTCACTACGCTCTGCTTAGCCAGCTAACAGAGCATGGAGCTCAGCCCCAAGGAGATCAGAAGAGGATTCGTGGTCCTTGGTGACTTTACTTAGGTTAAAATGAAGCATCCTGATTTCAGAAAACAACATTCAGTAGGAGCCCTGACCTTGCACTGGCAGGCAATGAAGCTGGAAAAACACACCCTTAGGCCAGAACATTTTCAGAGCAGAGAGTTGACTTAGGTTCTTTTATTTAAATGGTTTTTACTTCATCAAACTTTTTTATTATCTATAAGACAAATGATTTAAAAAAATTCCTTGAAAAAATAACAAACCAAACAAAGCAGAAAGGATTTTTTGGTTTATTCTCTAGACCTCTCTCCTTCCTTACTAAGATCAGTTTCTCTGTGGATATAATTATCAGATCAGTAAGCTGCAACCACGAATCGCAAAAGCAAAATGAATTGTCTGATTTAAAAGGCAAAGGTGGTTTATCTTGGTTTTATACATTTTGATTATGAGATATTGAATATGTAAACAAAGTTGGGGTAACATGTCCAGACATAATAGTTTTCATGTTGCCATCCTTTATTATGGAAATGGTTAGGCAGTATGTCCTGGCCAGCACTCAGTAGTCCTTTCAATTAATTTAAAGGGGCTACGACTTTTAAAATCAGGTACCTATACAGACTTTAAACCTTTCATCAAGCACATTTCTGGTTCCTGTTGACTTCAGCAGAACTTGTTTTAGCACCAGTTTAACAACGATTGGTCATATTCAATGACCTTGAAGATGAATTAGGGGGAGGGAACGGTTGGAGCAATCCATATGCATATTTCTATTTAAAGTTTAGTAAGCAGAAGTTAGGTGTTTCATAAGGGAGACTGAAGTTATAATAGAAAATAAATTTTTAAGCAACAATATAAAGGAAATATGTGATTTCTTGGATGAGGAATAATGGGTTTGATCTTGAGTCTCAAATTTCCCATCTGAGTTATTTGCTGAAAGCCATATATTTAGGGTTTATTTCAGTGTGTCTGTAAAATGGGAACAATTATTCCACCCTGCTCTACATTAGAAATAAATAACATATAAATGGACTTTGAGATCATAAGATGAAGGGCTATATAAATGTAAATGATTCAAAATCATTTAAAATGAACCCAACTGAAATTGTAGTTTTAAAAAAGATTCTCATAAATGAATTAAATCAATTGAAGTAAAAATATTACAATACATTATAAAGGAATTGCTTTTGAGAAGTTGAGCTTTAATGACTATGAAAAATTAGAGAAAATGCAGTAGATTAATTCACATTTAAGACATGGCTGTTATTGTATCAATCTCAAGTTAGAACCAGTATTTCCTGGAATTTCAAATGACCATTTGTTAATATATGGGGGAGAATTCTGTATATGGGCCATAATGTAAGTACACAACATTATTATTCATTCCTCTATTCAAATAACACAGCTTTTATTATGTGCCTCTTGTGTTCTAAGCAACATGCTAGGCCCTAGGAATGCCATAGGGAGAAAAAAGGAGTCCAGGACCTAGACTCACGCTGTCACGGAGATGTCTTGAGTTCTCTTTTATGGCAGAAAGAAGACCTATCAAAATGTCAACAGAAAACATGAAGCGAGAGGGCGGACATCATCATGTAAAAAGGTTTCGGGATTTCATTACTGAGTTCCAGAACATGGACTCAACATGAGAAAATGTAGAGTGTGGCCATTGGACAAATTAATGAGCATGTTGCTGTAGTTTCTTCTGCCTTTTTTTTTTTCTCAGCTTGTCTACACTACCTAGAGCATCAGTGCTGAGAATAAAACAGAAATGACAAGTCTGAGTTGCTTTGTAACTAGATATACAAGGGGCTGATCACCTTAGAGGATTTGCGAATCCTGGAATGTTGAGATAGGAGCACCTCGATGTTATTTTTCAGCTCTTCCACCTGAAAGGTGAAATCCATTAGAAGGATTTGAAGACAACAGAGAAGGTTTTTCACCCTCATCTGAGAAAGGCAAAAAAATTCATGTCTAGCTAATCTCATGGAAAATGAGGAAACTTATTTGTACAGTTTTAATAATCTTCTCTATGCTGATCATTAGGACAAAGGGCTAAATGTATTGCTTGGATCACAGACAACCCATTTTTGTTTTTTTATCATGCCTCACACAAAGTTTTAGCCTCTTTTCTATTTGAAAAATGGAGTGGAAAGGTGGGCGGGGATCATTTCCCTTAACATCTTTTAGTTGTTATGAAGTCTGTTGAGATACTACGTCAAATTTTCTCCTCTTTCTGAAGTAACCCTGGGTCCTTTCCGAAGATACTGGGAAATTTGTAGAGACCAAAGAGTATCTCCCACTTTGACGTCATGTGCTGGCATTGTTTAATGCTGAACCGTTTAGAAACTAGTGAAGTTGTATAATTCACTTGGATTTTCTTGCTGGTTATTCCTAGTACAATTTACCTTGTTAATTTGTTCTTAATGAGTTCATCAGCAATGATTTAATACAACACTGAGGAACAGCTTTCTTTAGTCTTTAACTCGCGACAGTTCCCCTTCTATTTGGCAGTACATTAATGGAAATGGAAAATTGCCTCATTCTAAATGTCAGAATAATACTGCACCAAAAACAATTCAGTCATGTCTTTCAAACCACGCACATATGGTTCATCACCAAATGTCACTCTTCTATTTCCCCCTTCCCCCCATGCCCTCCCCGCGCCTGTACCTTCCCTCTGTCTTTCTTTCCATTCGCCTGTCTCTGGTGATAATTGTTTGGATTAACTTTCCAATATCTTTACATCAGCTTTATTTCTCCTGTTGTCTGTATTTGTTAACAGTCCAGGAAGCAGTTCTCCTTACACTAGTTTTACCTAGATCCTTGGAATTGGCAGAGTTCACAGATCAGGTGACAGCTACTGCTTTTAATATCACAAATGTCTTTCATCTGCTCTCAAAAATGAAAAAAAAGTTTCTGTGAAGTTTCTTCAAAATAATTTTTTGTGCATATTTTTGGCCTGTTTGGTAAAGGTCTCTGTGTAAAGCTATGTTCCCCACTCTATCTACATTAGGGCAATTCTTTTCTTCCTAGCACTATATTCAAGCAAATTTCTTTCCAAGATGAATGCTTTTATTATGAATATCTTAATTGTGATTTATTGGGCAAGTTCATAATGAGAACATCCAGCACAGTTTCACTTGCACTTAAGGATACAAACTTTTAATTGCAAATCTCAATTCACTAACACTTAAAGGACGTTTCAATAAATTTTAAAAATTAATCTATATGCTAAGCTACCTAAAGTCTGTCCATTTTTTTAAAGGAAAAGCTAAAAGATAAAGCAATTTTCAAAGTTATCAAACATCAGCTTTCATGGGTTAACATATGATGCGTATCTTAAATGATAAATTTCTCTTTCTGTAAAGGGCCCCTTCTTCAGATATTATTGGGGGGAAACCATTTGAGAAAAACACTCCACTCTCAATTGTATATTTTTAATATTTTTCTATTTAAGGTACTTGTCTGAAAATAGAATTTTGAATCTTACCTTATTGGTTTGCTTTTTATTTCTATCAGAAATCCAACTTGCCTGTGAAGTATGAATATTTTAATTCAAGTAAATGTCTTCTGCAAAAGGAAGATCTCTTGTTTAAACAGTCAGCAGATAATCAGAGTGTGACCCACAGTTTTGTGTTACAGAGGTAGGGTCAGAAAGCTAAAGAACATTATTTCATTTCTCTGTTTTTCTTTTTCATCTAGTGGTATTAAGAGGGTTGCTATTCCTTATTCTGTAGAAACTATATGATATCATGATAATTTGTTTTTCCATGATTTACTTAGCATCTACTATGTGGCAGGTGCTTTACACAGGTTATTTAATCTGAGAAGTAGGTTTAGGAACAGTTTTCTCAGAGGTTTAAAAAGTTGTCTGACATTCCAGAGATGGTATGTATGGGAACATGTGCTTATCTGATTCCACATTTTTTTCTGTTATTTGTACTATTTACTTTAGAGTAGAAAAGGATGTAAAGAGTCTATTCTCCATTGCTCCTCATTGTCAATAGTCATCAAGCCCTACTAGAATGCTGCTGGTGACGCAGGGCTCATGTATTCCTAAGGTAGGCCGACTATTGCTGAACAGCTGTAATGACAGAGTATGACTCATTATCTTCAACTGAAGACTGTCCTTCTATACTTTTGCCTGTTGCTTTTCCTCTACCTTTAATAATAGTGTAATCAGTCAACTCCTTCCACTACGTGATACCTTCAGCTATTTGAGGCCTCTACTGATTCCCTGAATTGATCTCTCCTCTGTGCAAAATTTTTCCAAATCATTGCTTCCAGATCCTTCAGGGGCCTCCAAAATAAACTCAGAATGGGGCACACTGAAACCTGGACCAGTGTAGAATAAAATAGGGTTTAATTTGCATCTTATATTTTTTACATGTAGACTCAAATGGTTGTGTGTGTGTGTCTGTGTGTGTGTGTGTGTGCATGCACTTAAATTATATGTTAAGTTTGGAATCAAGTAGAAAACAAATAACAACATAAATTTCTAGCAACTAGATCGACCTTTCTGTATTAATGTGATCGACCTTTTGAACTCAGCATGAAACTTTACACTCTTACTATAACTTTATACACACCAACTTGGCCAATCAATATATTTGTAAATTATTTCCATCATTTGACGATTAAATTTTTCTTTGGCCTGTGGCTTTCTGACATCCTCATATTTCACAGAATTTTTTCCCTTTATTGTCAGTCAAGTAATTGATAAAAGTGTTGAGCTAGGCTATGTGTAAAACAGATTCCTAGAACATGACCCCATGTGCTTTTCTTGGGCATACCTCCAGGTCAGCCCATCTGATTGGCTATAATTCTAGGGTTCCCTGAGTCATCCTGAACCCTGCAGAGATAATGGGAACTGCCTCAGAGGCCTCCGCCTGTAACTGTCTGCAGACACCACGTCAGCCATCTTCTCTAATAATCTTTAGTTGTTGTTGTTGCTTTTTCTTTTTGTTTTTGTTTTTTAAAACCATGTGGTAAGAATAGTTGTTTAATTTTTAAAGCGACATCTGGATATTAGCCTTCCTCACATTATTCTTACGTACTGTTTGTTCTTGGCTCTTTCTGTATCTATTCATCTTTGGTTTTATGGCCCATTTCTTTGCACATTAATTTATAGGTTAAGTAAAACACACAAAACATATTCATTTACTGGGAACTTTCTATGTGTATTCAAAAACGCATGCTAGGTGCTGCGGATACTTCTAAGACTTGCTCTCTGGAGCTGGCTTTTATAGCAGAGTTCAAAACATTGCACCATGCATGGATGCAAAAGTTTCTTCAGATTCCTACTTTTTTTCTTTCTCAAAGAATGTCTAAGCGTTCTCTAGATTGTGGGTCAGAGCTCCATGCTTTACTCGCTTTCACCCACTGCTTGGCTCGTGGCGGGTGCTTGTTACACATTTGTGGATCTCAGTCTAATGGAATTCTGATCCCTTGTGTTTGTCTTCATTAGATTTTGACTTCTGAACTCTCCACACTTCTTAATCTTTCTTCCTTTTCTGAATTACTAATCTTGGGATGATACCTCCTCTTTTTTGTTTTTGTTTTTCTCTTTTAAAATTTTGTGATTTATAGATTGGGGTTCATTTGCCTTGGTTTGTTACCCACTTTGTGATTTTCACAGTGATTGTGACTCAACCATGACAGCAGAATTATGACACTTCCAGATCACCAGTATCATTCTTTTTGTTTGTTTGTTTTTGTTTTTGAGACGGAGTTTCATTCTTGTTGCCCAGGCTGAAGTGCAATGGTGCAGTCTTGGCTCACTGCAACCTCTGTCTCCTGGGTTCAAGCAATTCTCCTGCTTCAGCCTCCCAAGTAGCTGGGATTACAAGCGCCCACCACCATGCCTGGCTAATTTTTTTGTATTTTTAGTAGATATGAGGTTTCACTATGTTGGCCAGGCTGGTCTTTAACTCCTGACCTCAGGTGAGATCACCAATAACATTCTTTCTCAATGCTCAAAATCAAGTACCTGTGTAAATAGTTCAAGATGCAGAAGATATGATCATTTCAATCACATCAACAGTAACTAATAACAACAAGCAAGCAAGCAATTCAAATCAAAGGGGTACTTCTGAATGTTAATGTTCTTTCTTAATTCAGAAAAACAGTCCTAACACTTCTTGAGTGCCCCTTCTCTGCCAAGCACAGTCAGATCTATGTTTATTTGAGTTATATGTAAAGTATACAAAAGACATTTTGGTAGTCTGTTGTTTGAAGGAAATTATATTGTTGGCACAGGCTAGTTAGGGAGAAGAATGGTAAATTTTTATTTTTGCCTCAATTAGAAGGAAGTTTGATTCTCTTTGAAGGTTTCAGAAAATGTGATTGATTTAAAATTTAACTCGTTTTTTTATTTATATGGATATGTATACATAATGAGAGTTTAGTAGTACTAAATGACGACAAAGATGAGTTTTTAAAAAAAAAAAATCAAATACTTCATTTCCTGGTTTTTGCCCTGACCAGAAGATCAAGTACGCAAATAAAACTATAACACATCTCATGATTATTGTGAACTAGCTGGAACCAGCATATATCAGAGGTCAGAAGCTTAGCCTCATAAACAATTTTAAGAGCAGAGAGTTTCAGGTTACATCATAATTTCATGGGTACGTACCCACAGTGTGTCCCCACACCTTAGACTGAGAACTTTTTCCTGTCAGGTAAGTTCTTTGGCTATAAAAGGTCACGTGTAGTGAACAGAATGCTGTACTAGGTGTCAGGGGAGCTAGATTTTATGACTTGCACTGGAGGGCGTGTTGAATTTGTTACAATAGACCGCTGGAGAAGGACAGGTGAGTCAGGTCTAATAAGACTGACTAAGGCAAGAGGCCTGGCATCTAAAATATACTATCCGTACTAGTTTCCTTGGGCTGTCTTCACAAATTACCACAAACTTGGTAGCATAACATGTTGGAAATATACTCTCACAGTTCTGGAGGCCAGAAGTCCAAAATCAGGGTTATCAGCGAGGCCATGCTCCCTCTCAGGCCCTGGAAAAGAATGCTTCCTTGCTTTTCTAGTTTCGGGTGGCCCCAGGCATTCCTTGGCTTGTAGCTGAGCTGCATCACTCCAGTCTCTGCCTACTTCTGTTTTCACATGACCTTCCTCTCTGTGTCTCTGTGTGTCCTTTTCTGTCTGTAATTATGACATTCTTATTGGATTTAGGGGCCACACTAATCCAGTATGATCTCATGTCAATTTTTACCTAAGTATGTTTGCAAAGACTCTATTTCCAAATAAGGGTCACATTCTAAGGTTCCAGGTGGATGTAAAATTTTGGGGGACACTATTCCACCCACTACAGTATCTAAAGATATATAGGAACTATTTTGATTTCGGCCAGTTTTAATTCATTTCTTGATTCATTGATTCCACAAATATTTATTGAAGACCTGTTATGCACCAGACACAGTGCTCGGCAGTGAGGATGGCTTCCATAAACAGACACAATATCTTTCTGGAGCTTACTGTCTAGAAGCATCCAAAGGATGCCACTCAGGTAGATGTGATGCTGCTGCACATATTCTTAAAGTGAATCTCCAAATTTTCTTGATCATACATATTTTTTAGCACATCCTTCTAAGATAAATATCTCCATTCATTTATTCAATTACTATATAGACTACTTTACTAGTGCATATTAATAGACATTTGAAAAGGATCAATGTAATAAAAATAAATAGACATGTGACTATTGTCTTTTGCACCTTAATCAGTCATTTTGCAAATCAAGAATGCTATCTAGACACTTGTTAACATTCTGAGTCTTGGGAACAATGTCTTAGTTCTAGATGATTTCTTCTGTTTGGAACAACAGCCCAGTCAGAACTGGCGACCCAAAAAGGAAGCAGTAGCCTTTGGGATATTGGAATAAGTTGGAATATTAACCTATTCCAATATCCCAAAGGCTACTGCTTCCTTTTTGGAAGGATGCAATATGGTGTCAGCACTTTCCCTCAACCCCAAAGGCTGACTGAGGCTCATGCAAGGCTTCAATCACACCAGAAGGAATGGAATGTAAACAGGGGAGGCTGAGGGCCATTCATAAGGATTTAATAATCATGGCAAGGGTTGGGGGAAGTCTGAAGATTATAGGTCTGCAGGTACTTGAGACCTGCAGTGGGCAATGGGTACTTGGATTCTGGACAGAGCTCCAAGTATACTTCCTACCTCAGTTAGGATTGGCTTGAGATTTGGGTGTGGCTGAATCCATGGGGTGAATTCCTTTGCATTTGAAACTTGAGAAGATGGAAATGCAGAGACTGACACTGTTTCTGCCTCTGAATAACTTTATGACTTTATAAGAGAAATTTAATCCCATAGGCCTTACCCCAGTAAAATGAAAATAGTAACACCTAAACTATGTGACATCAGGGATTTAGATCAGGAAATCTTTTGAAATATCTTCCAGAAATAAGACTTACCATCATAAGATTATGGTATGTTTCAGTAAGTTAAATGTTTGCAGAGAGACTGTTGACTCTTCTGATGAAGACAGTTAAAAATCTCACACTCTAAATAGAAGGAGCATTTTCAAATTCATTTATTCATGGACTCAGGAGTGTCACAGAGAACATGAGGCTGTGTCATGTTTTCCTAAAGAGGTGTGGTTGACTCACAAGTGACTATATTTGAAGGAATCTTCCAGAATAAACAGAGCTATCAATCCTGTCTTCACTGATGCCATGTTGTTTGAGCGGGAGCAGTGCTGGGATGGCCCACTGGATTCTGAGTAGAGAGATCTGCTGAGAAATAGGGGTAATAAATACATGTTTATTAAAAATAGGCAATATAAGGGGTGGGAAAAATAATGCAATGGTTAGAAGAATTTGATTCCCACTTATTATTGAGGCTATCCATTTCAATATTCCCATGAAAGGATGTTCTGCTCATTTTCAGCTATTGTGTTCATCAATGGAAATACAATCATAACATCATATTAACATTTTGGTGCTTACTTTCTATAAGAAGTGAAATACCTAGATACTCTTCTGAATAATTTTTCTTAATAAAAATTACAGGAGCATTACAGCTAGATGGACATTGGATTAGAGAGCAGGAGCTCCAGTTCTGCCCTGGCCCTGCTGCTCATTGAACTCACACCTTCCATTTCTTAGGGAGAGTCCCTTTCCCCCTCTGAGTCTCTTTTTCCTTTATTTTAAGGTAAAGGGACTAGAGTAGATATTTGGTAAGTTTCCCAGTGTAAATAAATATCCTGAGTTTTTGAGTTACTCTTATGTACTCAGGTTGAGTTCAATTCTTCCACCTCTCATCTGCCTGACTCAGTTGGACAATTATCTTTCCATTAACACTTTACCTGTGGGACAGCCACCTGCTCTCTTCTTAATGTCCTTACTCTATTCTCCATATACTATGAAAATCAATCAGGATTTGATACAGTGAAAATACTAGTGATTTCAAGCAGTGTTTAATTCAGGGCATTTGATGCTCGTAGGATAGGAGGAACGGAAGTTAGAAGACAACTACTGGACTATTGATTTGGCAGTCACAGCACCATCACTGCTATCCAGAGATCAGAAACTGCTGCTGCTGCTGCCCCACTTGCTCCCATACCCATGAAGCTGGTGACCAGACTCTGAGACATGAGGCCCAGTCACCACAAACTACTAATGATAGAGGCAGGAACATGGTTGCCACCTCCCATTAATTTTAAACTGTTGTGCAAGTGCATCTGGTATGCCCTAGCTCAGATTTAGAAACTTAGCTTTTTAAGTGTCTGTGGGAATTATTGGAATCAGTTTTTTAATTTCTTCAAATAGAGGGAGAGTAGAGCTGTGGTTGGGAAGGCCAATCCAAATGCATCAAAGCGTGTATAATACTTGACACACTGTGCTCATTTACTTTACCTATAAGTTCCTGCCAGTCTGCAAGCCCCTCAAGGGCAGGTGCCATGTCTTATTAACCTTTGTATCAATGAGTTAAGGAGAGAACACAGCTTGAACATAGTGTAGTCCATTAAAAAAATGTGGATTAACAGTAAACAATGAGAAAGAAAGAAACAAGCTAAATGATGAGCTGATAAAGTCTCATAGGGAGGCCAGTGAAGACCAGTGCAGTCAGGAAACCTTATAAAAAGGAGTAAACCTCAACATGAATCTTGAAGACCATAGAATTTGGGTGGATCCAAGGATAAGGATATGATATTCCTTTCTTGTTAAGAGAACCCAATAATTGGTTCCCTGGATGCCTGCAGCTACCTCTTCTCAGGAATTTTCTTACATACAAAAATATTTTTCATTTATTCATTAATTCATTTAGCAAATATTTATTAAGCAGCTACTATATCTGCCATCTATTTTTCCAGAGACTGGAGATTTGGAGATACAGCAATGGACAACACAGACAAACAAAACAAAATGTGATTAGAAAAGTATTGACATTTAGTAGATAAGGCAGATGTTTTCAAATGTTGATTCATTGTTATATATATATGTATATATGTATGTGTATATATATGTATATATGTATGTGTATATATATATGTATATTTGTATCTGTGTGTGTATATATATATATATATATATATATTTTAGATTTTGGAAAGTGTGTGTGATTAAATAATTCTTCCTTTTTTCCCTCTTACACATTTTGTTCAAATGGTTCCTCTTATATTTGGCAAGTAGAAATTATTATATGGTCCTGTCTTAAGGCTTCACTGTCTAAATAGGTAATAGTTACGTTTCACCTTAGTAGATATTAACGCAGTTGTGGAGAGGAAGGTAATAATACATTCAGTAAGGAACATACAGTGTGTTTGGTCTCTCTAGTCCCCATGCGATTTCCCACCTTTTGGAAAACATGAGCTAAACAGGGAATATAGTAGGAAGAGTTTAATTTTGGATTTATGTAAATATTTTGTTCAAAGCCAAAATAAAACCTTTCTAGAAAATGCTAAATGAGTTCAGACTTATATCTGTCTCCAATAAATATATCCCCACCCAATATGCTAATGTATTTGCATAGTAAGTTCAAGTGTATCCTCCCTCCTTTGATGAGTGTCACATGCCTTATCTAGACTGTAACTCTCCCAGAGCAGCAACCATATCAGCTCTGTGAGTGCCACCTCAACTTTTCCTTACTCTGCCCACCCTAAAACTCAGCAGTCACTTTTCTGCCTATGTCGTATTATTGTGTGATTATTCTATGCATTCTTATTATCACTTTGGCATTTTATTCCTATGTAGCAAACTGGAAAAAGGCTTCCCTATATGCCTAATCTTTTATAAAAGTGCTAAACAAAATGCGTTTCTTTAGGGCAAATTCCTGGGTAAAAGACTGTTTATTCAGTCGGAGAGGTAACATTGATTTTAACTTAGAAAGGATAATCCCACGTTGAGGCGTGTATGTATGTTTTATATTCTACCTTTGGAAAAAAGTATTTAAAGCAAATTAATTATGCTGTTATATGGAGTCAGTTATATCTTTAGTTATTACCATTTCTAGTGTGTAATCTATTATTATTTGGTAAAGAAATTCTTATAAATATAAAACATACAAAATAAAAGAAATAAAATATTAGCCCCCAAGCAACAAACAGTGTTATTATTTTAATGTATTTCTTTCTAGTCTTCTCCTGTAGTAAATGACATAAAAGAAAGAAATCACAGTATGCATTCTTATACCATTTTTTAGATTGGTACAAATGGTGCCTTTCCCCCATAGGTTATTTTTGGACATACTACTGTTCTCTTATGGCTCCCACTCAGGGCTATTTCTGTTTTATAACAATTGGGGTCATCACTTCAGACTTTACGCTTTGGGAAGATCCATAATGCAATGGAGGGTAAATTCCTGAAACTTCTGGGAAATAACTGGAAGAGAAGTATGTAATCCCAAATGAGGATTAAAACTACCTGAGACCCTCCTACAGTTATATTCAGCAGGTATCATTTTGTTGTGTAAGGGAGGTCAGGGGAGACAGTCTTCAACTTCTTTTAACTTATTTTTTTTCCAGATTGCAGTCCTTGAGCTTTATGTTGTCATTTTGAAAAAATATTGTCTTCTTTTCCCTTGATATTGCTTTTGCTCCGATTCACTTGAATACATGTAAGGGAGTATTTGTATAGTGGGGGCATATAAAATACTGTACTGCTTTTCATACCCTCAGTTAGGCTGGATTCTATCAGTTTATGATTCTATCAGTTCATGCTCATCTCTGCACTCCCCAGAACTTTCTCTAGAGATGTTCACGTAGAATGGAGAATGTGATCGCTGCTTATTCAACCAGCCTCAAGCCCTGTGGCCATCTCTGGAAAATTATATATTACAGTTACTGTCTCTATTCTTACATTTTTCCAAAAACCTGTGATTTATCTGCATCTAGCGTATCAATCAGTGCAGCACACTTGTGTGCATTTTCTGATGTTAGAACTATAATTATTAGCTTTTGTGGTAGATTGTTTACAAAGAGGGAGACAGTTGTTCTCATTCTTACACATACACCTCTTTGCAACATGACATGGCTGCTTCTTCCATCAAGATGTGCAGTTTATTTCTGCACCCTTTGAATATGAGCTTGGTATGTGACTTGCTTTGGCCAATGAAATATTAGCAAATGTTATGCAAAAAGAAGCTTAAAAAGTGTTTGTGCACTTGAGCCTTACCCTCTGTTCCTGGAAAGCTGTTGTCATGTGAACAAGCTCGACCCACCATTTTGAGGATGAGAGGCAATCTGGAGAGAGGCCCAGCTGTCCCAGGCCAGCTCTGCCTCAAATTTCTGAAAGAGCTCGTCCTAGACCATTCAGCCCCAAGCTGAGCCAATCCATACCAAAATATTACCCAGTCATCCCACAAAATCGTGGTAAAAAAAGAGATGCTTTTTTTTTTTCTCTGAGCCAGTTTCTCAGGGGAGTAGTTTATTATGCAGTAAAACTTAACTGACATAGAAATTGCTACCAGAAGTGGGAGGCTGCTGTAATAAAAACCTAAAACATGTAGAGGTGGCTTTGGGATCAGACAGCAAGTGGAGGCTAAAAAAGCAGTGAGGAAATTTCTACCAAAGTGTGAACAACAACAACAAAAAGGCAAACAAGCTGTTAGCGGAGGCTAGAAAAGTGGTGAGGAAACCACAACAGAAGGTTGGAAAGATGGTAATTCATGTTACATTGTTGCAAAAGAATTGACAAAACTGTCACAGATTAAAAAATGTATGCAATAAATTTATAGATAGGACTAAGAAGATCTTATGGCAAAATGGGGAAAGTGTCTGTTTGCTTCTGCTAGTTGCACCTGATGTGAAACTGTGAGAGAAAGATGAGCTAAATAAATAACTATTTGGCAAGCAGAATTTAGAGGTATACAAAGAAGACAAATTTGCTGTATTGGAAAATAAAACTATTTTTTATTTCCAGTTTCTCCAGCCAGCAAAAGATTTTCAAAACAAGAAATATCTTTGGGAATAAGGATAACATAAGGGTATGGCTATAAGCTCCTTTTTAAAGCCCTCTGATAGATTTAAGATGGTGCCTAGTAGACATTCAGCCAGGCAAAGGAGCTTTCAGTAATTTTAAGGGCATTCTCCCAATCAGCCTGAAATGATACCCAAATAAGAGAGATGCCTATTTCCAAAGAAGGTGTGGGTTTGGCTTTTGGGGTATGGAGTGCACTTGACTTTGCTTTATGGGGGAATTCACAAAGCTTAATGAAAGCACTGCCAGCTTTTGCTAAAAAGGACTGAAGCAGTTTAAAACCAAAGGAGGTCTGTGGGCCCAAACTTTCTATGGGTAGAATTCAGGCTTTTTAAGGGTATAGCCAAGAGCAGCACAGAACAATGAACTTGGAAACAAGTCTTGGGAGCTAGAATTGGGCCCTAATTAAGGAACATTTCCTGTTCTAATAGTTGAGGTCCTTAAAATTTGCCTGGCAGGATCTCACAGTAGTTATGAACCGGTGACTGCTTTGTGCCAGTGTTCTTCCCATTTCAAGTGGGAGCGTTTATTGCTGTTACCTGTCCCTTCTCACTGTTACATGTTGTATGTGTGTGTGAAGAAGGCAGCTAACTTTAGTGGATAAGTCTTTGGATTAAGAGGAGCTGAACCTGAAGAGCTACGCCTAAAGAGACTCATCTATATCTGGAACTGATTTCGATGAAGATCCTTCAAGCCTGATACCATCATGGGATATGACTTTCGTAGAAGACAGAGATTGTATTTTGCCTGTGCAAAGCAAGTTCATTTTGTGACCTGAGGGCAAACTGTGGTTGGTTGCTTGCAAAGCTGGCCACAGTACTTCCTCCTATGTTTTATGCACATTCCTTTATAACGAGATTTTGCCACTCTTCCCATCAGGAAGTGGAGTTTAATTCTTCATCCCTTGAGTCTGGGCTTAGCCAAATGACTTCCTTGGCCAATGGGACATGAAGAAATAGGATGTAAGCCAAGGCTTGTATTATAAAGTGCTTGGTCACTAGGGATTCTTCCTTGTTGCTGCAAATGTCACCATCAAACAAGGATGCAAAGAGTCTGAAGTAGCCTGTTGGAGAGACCACACGGAAGAGAGCCTCAGAGTTGACAGAAATGGGAGTGAGGCCATCTTGACCATCCAGCTCTGGCTGAGCCACATGAATGAGAACCAGATGAGACAGCAGAACTGCCCAACTGATTCTAGTCCAAATTGCCAATCCACTGAATTATGAACTAACTAATAAGTAATTTTTGCTTTAAACCACTAAGTTTTGAAGTGGTTTGTTATGCAGCAAAAGCTAACTGATACAGATTTTCTGTTGAAAGTACAATTTAAAGTATTTAAATTGGGAGAGCTCCATAAAATTACTTTTTAAAAATTAAATACTCTGACAAATTCCTTTTCTGCACTATTGTCTTTATATTATATATATATTATAATTTATACAATATATATGTGTGTGTGTATATATATATATATTGCGCTTGAGTACAACGTTTTTATCAGGCTCAAGTAGTTCCATTAATACTCTACCAGCTTTCTTTTCTTTGTTTGAAAACTTTAGTGTTTGATTTTGGATTTCCTTGCAAGGTGCCCTGGTAATTAAAGAGCTTTTGACCTACTTAATTACTAGTTTGCATTGCATTTGGTGTGTCACATTTTACAGAATTACCACTCTTCTTCCTGGAAAATTCTTTTCCTCCATAAAAAGATTCATTCCCACTCCCCATAACAGCCTTCTTTCCTTTGCCATTTAGTGTTTATTTTTTAAATGCCTGTCCTATTTGGGCTGAGTCAGACATTTTCCCCAAGTTTCCAATAAGCCATTCTTAAACAGTCTCTCAGCTTCTTCATGGTTATTTACTTTTAAAACTATTTCTTTCATTTTTTTTTCCTCCTAATAAAACCCGTATTTTTTCATAGTTGCCCTTTCTAAAACAAGGTAACTTCATGATGAATATTTTTGGCTTTCCTTTCTTGCCAGAATGTTGGACTTAATCACATGGTGATCACTGCTGAACAGGCATCCCTTGAGGGATAACACTTCCCTTTTGAACATCCCTACAGATGAGCAAAGTCATCACTCTCATTTTCTGTGGTGGTTGAAAACTGAGGCTTGCCTGTCCTACTTACAGTGTATCCTTGAGCTACTGGGAAGATTCAGATACAAATGAGGTAGAGGAAAAAATCGTATTTTGTTTTCCTTTGGTCCTTTTGTGGTTAATTAGTCATCTCCCTGAGGATATATCCTTACAGCATTTAAGTTATAGTTATTTGTGGAATCATCTTATCTTCTGTACTAGACTGAAGACATTTGAGAGTAGAGTCCAGGTTTTAGACATCTTTGTATTTCTTTTTTTCTTTCCTTCTTTTTTTTTTTTTTTTGAGACAGAGTGTCACTCTGTCACCCAGGCTGGAGTGCAGTGGCATGATCTCGGCTCACTGCAGCCTCTGCCTCCCAGGTTCAAGCGATTCTCCTGCCTCAGCCTCCCAAGCAGCTGGAACTACAGGTGCATGCCACCACGCTCAGCTGATTTTTTTTTATTTTTAGTGGAGACAGGATTTCACCATATTGGCCAGGCTGGTCTCGAACTCCTGACCTTGTGATCCACCCACCTTGGCCTCCCAAGAATTCAGCATATAGAAGGTACGTTATGAATATCTGAAAAAATTAAAATTAACAAATAAATTCATAAATAAATCCAAGTTATGAGCTGGGTCAAGCACTCCTTTGGTATGAAAAAGGGATGGTTGAATCAGATAAGTGGCCCATCTGAATGAACTGTTTGTCTCTCTCTGATGATTCTTCCTCTCCTATATTACTCTACCTCCCTTAAAGAAAAGAGACAGTGTTAAAGAGATAGCAATAAATGACATTTGTCTCCTCACTTCACCCTGTATACAGTACAGAGCTATCATGTATCACTCAAAAGGAGATTGAGTCTGCTGCACTTGGTTCTGTGATATCCCTAAAATGTAAAGAGAAACTGTGGAATACGGCAATGGCATGTTTTTCTAATATTCCTGACTCCCTATTAAAATAAACAAGCACCGACTATAGCATAAGCAAAGACCCATACGCAAAACTATGTGAAAAGGCATCTCCATGAACCTCCAAACATGAGTGTCAACAAACCACCAATAATTACAATACCTGGTGTCTATATCTGTGTAGGCAGAAGCAGAGAGAAGCTAGCTGGGTTTCTGTTATTTCTCAGAATAGGTGAGTGGTGAACTAATGTGAGAACTGCCATCTAAAAAGCTATGACAGGATCCTGCAGGATCCAATTCACAGATGAGTACGGTGGATTATGTTGCTATAAATTCTAATGGTTCTGGAAGCATCTTGGTCCTATAAACTCTAAAAACTATGAAAACAAAGCTGTCTTCCAAGACAAAGCCTTGTACTATGGAGAAATTGCTAGAAATAGGATCCAAATTGAGCAGAATAGAGACAGAAGCACCAAAGGGCTAGGCAGTTCAGATAAAGGTGTGGAAAGAAAGGGAGGAGGACCAGTTTCAAAGGATATTGCATTGTTATTTTCTTCTTAAAACTTCATTTACTTAAAGAGATTATGTTTGTATACAATATAGTAGTAGTATTTAAAACAAGAGAACAAGGAGACTAATATTCCTACAGAAAATGAAAGCATGCAAAACTGACATGCCACAAAATGTTTGAAAACAGTAAGCTGATTGTAGTAGGCAGAATAATGACCCCTTGATGTTGTCGACATCCTAATCCTCTGAGCCTGTGAATATGTTAGGTGGCATGGCAAAAGAGAATTAGGTCGAAGATGGGATTAAGATTGCTAACCAGATGACTGTAAAATAGGGAAATTAGCCTGGATTATCCAGGTGGGTCTAATGCAATTACAAGGATCCTTCTAAGTGGAAGGAGGAGACAGGAGAGGGAGAACTAGAGAAATGGCAGTGTAGGAGGGACTCAGCCCAACATCACTGACTTTGAAGGTGGATGAATGGGGCCTTGGTCAAGGAATGTGAGTATCTGTAGAAGTTAGAAAAGGCAAGGAAACAGATTCTCCCCTAGAGCTTCCAGAAAGAACACAGCTTTCTTGGCACCTGAATTTTAGCCCAGTGAGACCAATTTTGGACATCTGACCCTGAGAACTGTAAGATAATAAATATGAGGTGTTTTAAGGCATTAAGTTTATGGTAATTTGTTACAGTAGGAATAGGAAACTAACATACGAATATTTCAAAATTACCCAAAAGAAATTAAGAAAGTGATAAAAGCTATGAAATATGAATATTAACACAAATGTTAAAAATTAGAATGAGGTAATTGGAGAAGAGTAAAATTTGGGGGAAAATGATGACAGTTGCATAAAAGAAGGAAACAAAGAAAAAGTCATTTTAGAAATAAAGAATAAAGTCAAAGAATACTAGAATGAATAAAACTACTGATAATGCCTTCATAGAAATGGAAGATGGAAAGGTGGAAAAAATTCACAGTGAAAAATAAATCAGGAAGAAGATTAAAAAGGATTCAAAAGAAAGTGATAGATATAGAAGTTCGTAGAAAAGATGTAACATGTATGTCATAGGAGTCTTTGTGAGAAAACCAAACCAAGGGGATAGAATATACTCTAACAATGATCAATTTAAAAGTCTTCAAATACAAGGTTATTTGAAACGTACGAAAATGTATATCACATACTGGAAAAAATCTACATGGGAAGGCAAACATTGAGGCACAGTCTAGTAAAAATATTAAATTCTAAAAAATCGTTTGGGTATCGAGGCAAAAAGCAATTCGCAAGGGAAAAAATCAGGTTGTCACTGAAGTTTTCATCAGAAGACTTTATTTCAGAGATCAATGGAGTAACATATTTAAGATACTCAAGGAAAGAGAATGTGAGCCACATTTCCTATGTAGCCAAACCAATTTGTCAATATAAAGGCTCCAAATAAATGTTTATGAACATGTGGTAATTTAGGAAATATTGTTCCCCTGAGCTCTACCTGAGTGATTTACTAAAGGGTACATTTCAGCTAACCAAAAGATTGGAGAGACTTTTAAGTTAAAAATGTAATGTAATATTTCTGACAGTGTAGATAGGGAATAATCATCAAAAATTGGGAGAAAATGGAGAATGTGTATAAAACATTGACTAACCTGCTGATTGCTTTAAAAATACTGACAGAGAGAAAAAGAGCATTACTTCAAATTTGATGCTGTACAGAAAGGTAGAGGAGTAAGAAAAGATTACTAGTTAATTTTAATGTGGCTTATAGTAGGGAATCAACAACCAATAGCCAAAAATAAAATGAAAGTTACTATTGAAAGATATTAATTTAAATTTTAAAAAGTATTCATGTAATATGTATGTGTGTAATAGAACCAAGGCAAAACATTTTGACATATTGATCATGTCAGTAAATGTAAATAAGCTTAACTCACCCATCTATAAATAATATTCAGACTGATTAAAAAACAAAATTGAATATTGAATACTAAATATCTAAGAAAGTAGAATTAAGACCAAATGCATTGAGATACAAAAATGAGACTTGATAGCACTGATGATTACAATTCATCCAGTAACTCAGTATTAACTTTTATAAAGCAGAAACTACATTGGTAAGATAAATCTCTAACACCTGTCTCTAAATCCAAATCAAACCAAGTAGACAAAATATAGGTTGGGTTAGAGAAAAGTAAAATATAATCAATAAAGTAAATCTTAGAGCTACATATAAAATCAGTCCCAGTAATGGAGGAGACATTTTCTATCCAGTGCACATGGAACATTTATAAAAATTGACTGTATCAATGTATAGAAAAAAACGCAATAAATTAAGAAGACTAGAAATAATATAAGCAACAGTCTAGACCACAGTAAATAAAAAAAAATTAATAACAAAATTTAAAAAAAAAAAGACATTTCCATGTAGAATTTTTTTAAAAGCTCTATTAAGTAACTAATAGATCAAAGGGAAAATACAAAACAAAATTACAAAATTTCTTAAAAATTATAAAAATATGACACCTGAATCTGTGGGAAACAAAAAGAAGCTATCAGAAGAAAATTTATAGAATTATGTATATAAAAACAATGTAAATAAATACATTAAATCCCTACTTCAAAATGGTACAATGAGAAAAACAAAACCAAAATAAACTAGAAATGAATAAAGATAAAAACAAAATTGATATATTAAAAAGCAAAACAAAACAATAAGATTAAAAATAAAACTAAATCCCAGTTTTTGGAAAGAACTTACCAAAATAGACAAACCATTGTATGTATAACTTAATCAAATACAGAAAGGAAGAAAGCACAAATACACAAAATCCAAAGTGACAAGGAGGAAATAATAAACAAAAGAAAATGTTTAAAAAGTTGTAAGAAATTACTTTGCAATGCTCTATGCAAATACACTGTACAACTTTGAGCAGGATTTGATAAACTATAGCCCATGGCCAAATCTATCCACTGCCTATTTTTATAAGTAAAGTTTTACTGGAACATACCTATTCTTTTATATATTACATATGGCTCCTTTTGCAAAAATGGCAGAATTGAGTACTTGTGGCAGAGAGCTTATGGAAAAAATATTTACTCAATATCCTTTACAGAAAATACTTCATGACTCCTGACTTAGAGAAAAAGGTAACTTTCTTTTTAAAAAGGTACATTTCCAAAATGACCTCATTAGAAACAGAAAGTCACAAATTATCATAGGTGAAATAGAGTCAGTCACTAGTTAAAAAGTTATTCCACAAAAAGTACCCCTCCTTTCCAAGCAGGAGAGACACACGGAATCTAAGAGTTACCAACAAGGGGCATCCTGTAACAAGAAGCATTTAGGCCAGGAAGATTTTGTCTCTGTGTTGTTGAGACTTCCCTCTCTTACAGAGAGCGACCTGGCAGCTCTGCAGCACTAGTAAAGGGAACCCCACTACAGCAAGTGGACTGGCATGGGAAACCTATTTGACCCTGTGGGCTGAGGACTCTTTTCCCCAACTTGGGAAAACCAGGAAGCCCCGACTTTGGAAGCTCTTTCTGTCTCCTCAGGTAGCACCATAAAGGACCAGTGGCAGCCTCAAGGGCAGGAAGTAAACTAAACAGCTCAAAATAGCATTGTGAAGGCTCTGAGAATTAAATTGTTGTTGGAACCACAGCCTGCAAAGTAAGCCAGTATTTGTGTGTTAAACTAAAATAGAGTGACTGTCTCTTAAAACAGAAGATTTAAGTAGGACCCAGAGACTCCTAACATAATAGCCAAAATGTCCAGCATGCAATCAAAAATTACCTATTGGCCAGGCATGGTGGCTCACGCCTGTCTGTAATCCTGGCACTTTGAGAGGCCAAGACAGGGAGATCGCTTGAGCTCAGGAGTTTGAGGCCAGCCTGGGCAACATAGTGAAACACTGTGTGTATAAAAAATACAAAAATTAGCTAGGCATGGTGGCATCACCTGTAGTCCCAACTACTTGGGAAGCTGAGGTGGGAGGTGGGAGGATGGCCTGAGCCCAGAAGATGGAGGTTGCGGTGAGCTATGATCACACCACTGCACCCCAGTCTGGGCAACAGATGAATACTCTATTTCAAATATATATATATATGTATATATGTATGTATGTATGTGTGTGTGTGTGTATATATATATATATATATATAGAGAGAGAGAGAGAGAGAGAGAGAGAGAGACATCATACCAAGAACCAGGAATTCAAAACTTGAATGAGAAAAGACAATTATCTGATAGTAACATGCCAGTGAATCAAATATTAGAATTATCTGAAAAGGATTTTAAAGCAGCTGTCATAAAAATGTTTCACCAAGCAATTCCAAGTTCTCTGGAAACAAATGGAAAACATATAAAATCTCAGCAGAGAAATAAAAATTACATAAAAAAGAACAAATGGAAAGTATAGAACTGGAAAGTACAACAGAAAAGTGGGTTTGAACAAATGAAAAGATATATCTTTACCTTGTATAGCAAGTCTCAGCATCATAAAGATGTCAGTTTTTACCTATGTTAATGTATACATTTAATATACTCCAATCAGAATAATGGGAATGTTGACTGGATGTTTGATCTTATCATGAAATAACTAATTTTCTAAGTGTGATCATCATATGGTAGGTATGATTATGCAGATAAATTCTTAGTTTTTGGAGATAAATAATAAAATACAGAAGAAGTAATAAAATGTTTGAGATTTGCTTCAAAATTATGGAGAAAAGATTGGCAATGTGTTAATTTACTGGTAACTGTTGAAGCTTAGTGATAGGTGTGTTAGGTCTGTTATATCATTTCATATACCGAAATATATACTTCGGTATATATTTGAGATTTTCCACAATTAAAAGTTTTTGAAAACATCCTTAGGATCTAGGGCTTTGCAGCTATTTTGTTTTGGTGAGAAAAAAAATAGGCTACATAGAAAAGACTGGCATTTGCGTGAAAGAAAGGTAGAAGCATAAGAAAAAAATGAGGAAGCATGATTATGCAAGCTTGTAGAGGCATTAGCCGAGACAACCCCAGCTGATCCATCCACAATCTACAATTTATTAAGGACATAACTTCAGAAAAATGACATACCTAGTCTTCCCTACAAAACGTTTTTTGAAAGAAAAGAGACTCAAAGGAAATAATAACAAAATTCTCAGAAGTACTTTAAACTCTTTTGAAATTACTCTGTCTCTTCTCCTTATGCTTCCTTTTTTTCCTAATCATTCTTTTTCTTTAGACATAATGAGAAAAAAGAGATAACAATTTTATAGTACTTTACTGGTTTTCTTGATTACTTATATTGGACAATATTATTCTTTTCTGATATGCTTTACTGTAAGTCAATCAATAGAATATTAGTAGTTTAGAACTTGTTTTTTAAAGACAGACTGCATAGGATAGAATCCAGCTTCTAGCATATATAGTTTTGACTTTGAACATCTTTCTATGTTTCAGTTTATTTACCTGAAAAACAAGAAAAAGGTAGAACTTAGGAAAGTGGTTAGGATCAATGATGTAATGCACTTATCGTGCATCATCTAAGAGATTTTTGGACACCATACAAATGTCCATGCCCATTGGCGATGCTCAGCATATAGAAGACAGGAGTGGTATATTCCTTCAACATGGAGCTTGGGACTGAGTCATTTAGTGATTTGATATTTCACTCTCGGATTCTGCACTATCCAGCTGCATTAGTTTTCTGTGGCTACCGTAAAAATTTACCACCAACTTGATGGTTTAAAACAAGAAAAATGTACTATCTTAGAGTTCCAGAGGCCACAGGTCTGAAATCAAGATGTAGTCAGGGTTATGCTCCCTCTGGATACTTTAGAGAATAGTCCATTCCTTGCCTTTTCTAGCTTCTGGTGAGTGTCAGCATTTCTTGGCTTCCTTGGCGTGTGGTGGTATCAGTTCAATCTCTGCCTCCATCTACATATCACCTTCTCCTCTGTGTGCTTGTTACCAAAACTCCCTTTGTCTCTTTCTTGTAAGGATATATATAGGGATACACGTGATTGAATTTAGGGCTCACCCAGATAATCCAGGATAAACTCAAGAATCTTTTTTGTTTGTTTGTTTGTTTTTGAGACAGGGTCTCCCTCTGTTGCTCAGGCTGGAGTGCAGTAGTGCAGTCATGGCTCACTCCAATCTTGACCTCCTAGGATCAAGTGATCCTCTCACCTCAGCTTCCTGAGTAGCTGGGACTACAAGCACATGCCACCATGCTTGGCTAATTTTTTTATTTTTTGTATAGACAGGGTGTCACTATGTTGCTCAGGCTGCTCTCAAACTCCTGGGCTCAAGCAGTCTGCCTCCCTCAGCCTCCAAAAGTGCTAGGATTGCAGGCATGAGCCACTGCGCCTGGCCCCCTCAAGAATCTTAGTCACATCTTTTGCCACATAATGTAATATTCACAAGTTCCTGGAATTAGGGTGTAGACATATATGTTAGGGGTCATCATTAAGCTTGCTACACCTTCTGAAGAAGACACTCCTGTCAATGGTATCTATTGAGGAGCCTGGCCAAACGCATGTGAGGACTCTAAATTCAGAAGCATTGGCTGCAGAGGCAGATGAAAAGGCAGCAGAATTCTTCAGGCAACTTCTGAGACAATATTTGTCACTTACCCAACCAGGCTGTGACAACCCTGGATTCAGGAAACATTACTGTTTTAAACTTCCATCCCAGGACCAATATCCACTGAAAAATACTACAAGAAAGCACTGAAGGTAATGGCTTCACTGCCTTTGTTTGACTACCTGACTTCAAGGTGCCCCAGTCTGCTGGAACACATTCCTGACTCATTCTGGATGCTGGGAGCACTATTTAGATGAATAGTCATAACATTTCTACTTTACCTTTAATTAGAAAATGTACTCCTTGTTAAAACTTTAAGCGTTAGGACATATACAAGTAAAAAGTGAAAAATATTTATCCCCTGTCTCCTAATTATTCCCCCTGCATTCGTCACCACCACTTCAATCTCCAGGGGTGACCATTATCATCAGTTTAGAGTTTGTTTTTTCATACATTTTTATGTATCTGTAAATATATATATATAGCTAAAATAAACTCACACCATGTGTATTTGCAAACATTTTTCAGCTTTAATTTCTTTAGATTGTATTAATAGCTCTGTCTGATTTCCCAGGAGAAAGTATTTTCCTGAAAACAAAATTACTGCTTCTAAAACCACTAATCTATTGCAACTGTATAGTGAAAAATGATAGTGGAACTGGTAGCAATAGAACCGTAAGAATTGGCTACATAATGGAGATCCAGATACCTACTGAGATCCAAACACCCAGTGAACAATACTATGTGATATGGTTTTGTAAAATGAGAGTTCAGTAAGTGATTCATACAGAGGTATCACCTCTATTGGTTTTTATTTACTATTTAGGAAGCCTAGTACATTCCCTTTACTTTTGCTTTCACAAGAAAGAGTCATCTACTTTATTTCCAATTTAAAATGCTCTATTAAAACTACTAAGATAAATTCTGATGCTTTCCCTATTCCACTAAATATATTTAGCTCCATTAGCACATACACATTATTTAAGTATGGAACTTTCACCAACAGCAATTTTAGGTTGTTTCTTTCTTATGACAAGTTTGTTTCACTATTGCTATCTTTTAGCATCATTTCTGTTGCCATTTTCATCAACAGTATACGCATTTTTTACAGAGAGATGTGAGGTATCCATTCTTTTCTTAAGATACTGACAATCTGGATGAGATTATAAAATATACAGTAGTTCAAGTATCACAAATTGGTTAATTCATTCAGGAAGCATTTTTTATCACTATCTTCTAGGCACTGCTTAAGGCTCTGAGGTAAAGCATTCAACCAAAAAGACACAAATTTCTGTGCTCATGGATTTTATATTCTAGAGGGTAAGCAAGGCAATAAGCAAGAAAAATAAGTAAAATATAAGGTATGTTAGAAGATTCTCAGCACTGTAAAGAAAACTAAATGAGGATAACAAGGATTCAGGGTGCTGGGGTTTGTGTATGTGCAATTTTAAATTAGATGGGCAGGGTGAACCTCACTGAAAAGGTGATATTTAAGCAAAGACCCGAAGGAAGTATGAAAACAAGCCAGGCCAGTGTAAGAACGTTTCATGCAGAAGAAAAAGGCCCAAATCCCTGAGGTAGAGACATACCTGCTATTTTCAAAGAATAGCAAAGTCAGGATGGCAGAGTAGAGTCAACAAAAGAGAAGTAGTGAGAGACCAAGTCGGAGAGGTCAGAGAGGGCCCGATAGTATAGGTCAGGACCCTGGTTTTGAATCTGTTAGAAATAGAGAGCTGTTGGAGGTTTTGAGCAGGTGAGTGACATGATCTGACTGAAGTCACTCAACTGCTGGGTTGAGAGTGAGAAGTCATCAGATAATGGATATAATTTGGAAGTAGAGACTGCAAGATTTTCTGATGACTTGGGGACAGAGTGTGAGACAAATAGAGGATTGCTCCAAAATTTACTAGTCTGGGAAAATGGAGTAATGAAGTTTCTATGACTTGCAGTTTCATCAAACTTAGGAATTTAGTTTGGCACATGGTAACCTTGAGATGTTTGTTAGGTGCAAATAGAGATGTTACTTAGGCCACTGGATATGAAAACTAGGATTCAGGTAAAAGGGTTGGTTGGAGATAGAAATCTTTTTGTCTTCAGGGTATAGACAGTTCTCCAACTGTGATACTGGGGAATGTCAAGAAGAGATGGAGCATCAAGGCAGAGAAGAGGTCTGAGGGCTGAGCCCTGGGAACTTCTATATTAAGCAGAAAAGAGGAGAAACCTGTAAAGTAACTGCTAATGATCAGTGAGGTAGGAAGGAAACTAATGAAGCCTTGAAAACATGCTCCAAGGAAGAGTGATCAACTGTGACAAATGTTGATAGATCAAGAAAAAAAGAGAAAAAGAAAATATACAAAAGTATAGAAATTCTATAGGAAAGCAAAAGTGGAACAGAATTACGGGAAAGGAACTGGAGGGGAAGGGGAGGTCAAGGACTAATTTTTGAATATAGGAGAGTTAGCGGTACAGATGAGACACATTCTGTTTGGTCTGCAGTGTTTTAACAAATTTTGAATTTTAATGTCTTTTGAAAGGGCATGTTCTCTAGGCACCCACTATCTTTGCTAAGGCCCTCCAGCCATTCAGGTGTGCAACTCATGCAGGAAACTCTAGGCCATGCTTGTCTAACCCTCAGCCCATGGGCCGCCTGTGACCCAGGATGGCTTTGAATGTGGCCCAACAGAGGAATTCGTAAACTTTCTCAAAACATTATGAAGTTTTTTTGAGTTTTTTTTTCTCATCAGCTATCATTAGTGTTAGTGTATTTTATGTGTCATCCAAGACAATTTTTTTTTTTTTTTTGAGACGGAGTCTTGCTCTGTCACCCAGGCTGGAGTTTAGTGACACGATCTCGGCTCACTGCAACCTCTGCCTCCTGGGTTCAAGTGATTCTCCTGCCTCAGCCTCCTGAGTAGCTGGGATTACAGGCACCTGCCACCATGTCAGGCTAATTTTTTTTTGTATTTTTAGTAGAGATGGGGTTTCATCATGTTGGCCAGGCTGATCTTGAACATCTGACCTCATGCTCCACCGGCCTTGGCCTGCCAAAGTGCTAGGATTACAAGCATGAGCCACTGTACCCGGTCGACAATTCTTTTTCTTCAAATGTGGCCCAGGAAAGCCAAAAGATTGGACACCCAGGCTCTAGGTCATTGTGGATCTGATATTTACAGTTGTGGTATGTGTAAATAGCCCTGAAAGACATGTAACTTGTAAGTCATGTAACAAGTCATATGTAACTACACTGAGGCACATTTTATTAACTTTTAAAAATGTAAGATAAATATTTTTTTCTTTGGAAAACACAAAACTAAAATTTGCTTATGGTATACAATGTAGAAGCAGAAAAATGAAATAAATATTAATTACAATGTATCCTGAGAGATAAACCCCTGTGAACACTTGAATGTATATAATTTCTTTTGTGCGTTTTTTTCAATGAAACTATATATAAGAAAAATGAGATCATACTATAAATAATGTTGTGTAATTTACTTTTTGTACTCAAAATATCATAGTCTTTTGAAACCACTAAATATTCTTCTACAATATAATTTTTATAAATACATAGAATTCCATTGCATAATGCGTCAAGATGTGCTTAATTGGTTACCTGTTTAGATATTTATTTATTTATTGTGAATAAAATAATGTGACAATGAACATCCTTGTAGCAAATCTTTCTTTTCCTAAGAGAGAATTTGAATCCTAAGTGCCTCCAGGCTGGTTTGAAAACTGTCACTTGGCTGGAGGGTGAGCTAGCTGACTTCCTCATGCAAAACTCCATAAAGCTCTGTTGTCCTTTTAAAATAAACTATCCCAGTTAATTTAATCTTCACCAAAGGAGGTAGATACTACAAAGTTTTGCTTTTAAAAAATTAGGAAATTTTAAGAAAGTCACATGCTTACTGAAACAAAACTCCTCAGAAGTGGGAAAAGATCAATGGTCCAAATAAGAACTTCCCACGCACGTAACTTCCGAATTTTTCTTTAGAGTTGGTAAATAAATAGCACATCTAACTGGTTCCTCTCATGCATCAAGTCTTTAGTGAGTTTATCTCAAGGTTTTGCTCTTTCTGCCAAGCATTTAGAGTGATCCCTTTGTATTATTTATGCTATTAGTATTTGTATAGACTACTGACTATTTTGGCTTGGCTTTTTCATTTCACTTCTCATACTTGTCAGTTGTCTAATTAGGTGAGTTGATTAGTTTGTCATTTCTAGTTGTCTCAAATGTGGCATCAGATTCCCATTCAACCTTTCCAGAAGTACTTTAATTAATTGACATCTTATGCCCTTCCACACTAAACGTCATCAAATTTTTTCTTTGTTTGTAGATTCCCTTTAGAATATTCATGTAGTTGGTGCTGATCTTTTCTACGTAAGTTCTATCTGTGGCTCCTTGTTTAAAAAGCAGCAAAAAGGGCTGCTAAGATTCTAAAATATAAAGCGTTTTATTTTTCTTTATTCTGTGATCTCTATCTCAACTTGTTATGGTGTTTATTTGCTCTTTAATGTCATTCTAGGTAAAGAAAAATTAGCATTTTAAATTATTCATATAAATGTTACTGTTCATCTTTATATTATGCAAGGCCAGTTTTAAAGGCAGAGATAAGAACGTTGAACTCATATGTGGAATTACTGAATTACACAATTCCTATTTTGTGGCTCCTATGTGCATATGTATTTTGTACTTACCAGAACAGTGGCAACTATATACAAAGCTAACTCAACTGATACATTTTTCACTTTGTAATACATACACATTCTGCCAATACTCTATTTTTGGATTACTCAAAGAGTAAAGGTAGAAATAAAAGGAAAAGGAACTGTGGGTTGCCTCATCTTTTCCTTTCTTGTTATGCCACTCTTTTCAGCCTAAATGGTTGGCTAACATGGGGAAGCAATACAAGTAAGAAAGATATGATAAGGTTCCTGGACCATTTGTGTTTCTTAGAACACCACTGCCTTCTTCTGTCTTCTAAGCAAATCCTGGTTCAAACAGAAACTGCGACCTACCAGGGCTGTCAGCTGAAGACGTTGCAAGCTTACCTTGTACATGCTTTGAGTCTCACCAAGCTCCTGTGCATTGTGAGTCCTCTAGGGCTCTTTGCTCATGGGGCATCACATTGTATGTGATGGGGCTTCCGGGAACTGTGAACACACATATTGCATCTTTCTCCTTTGCTCACACATGCTGTATTGTCCTATCACACTTCACTTTCTTTTTTTTATTATTATTATACTTTAAGTTTTAGGGTACATGTACACAACGTGCAGGTTAGTTACATATGTATACATGTGCCATGTTGGTGTGCTGCACCCATTAACTCATCATTTAACATTAGGTATATCGCCTAATGCTATCCCTCCCACCTCCCCCCACCCCACAACAGGCCCCAGTGTGAGATGTTCCCTTTCCTGTGTCCAAGTGTTCTCATTGTTCAATTCCCACCTATGAGTGAGAACATGCGGTGTTTGGTTTTTTGTCCTTGCGATAGTGTGCTGAGAATGATGGTTTCCAGCTTCAACCATGTCCCTACAAAGGACATGAACTCATCATTTTTTATGGCTGCATAGTATTCCATGGTGTATATGTGCCACATTTTCTTAATCCAGTCTATCATTGATGGACATTGGTTGGTTCCAAGTCTTTGCTATTGTGAATAGTGCCACAGTAAACATATGTGTGCATGTGTCTTTATAGCAGCATGATTTATAATCCTTTGGGTATATACCCAGTAATGGGATGGCTGGGTCAAATGGTATTTCTAGTTCTAGATCCCTGAGGAATAGCCACACTGACTTCCACAATGGTTGAACTAGTTTACAGTCCCACCAACAGTGTAAAAGTGTTCCTATGTCTCCACATCCTCTCCAGCACCTGTTGTTTCCTGACTTTTTAATGATCGCCATTCTAACTGATGTGAGATGATATCTCATTGTGGTTTTGATTTGCATTTGTCTGATGGCCAGTGATGATGAGCATTTTTTCATGTGTCTTTTGGCTGCATAAATATCTTCTTTTGAGAAGTGTCTGTTCATATCCTTCACCCGCTTTTTGATGGGGTTGTTTGTTTTTTTCTTGTAAATTTGTTTGAATTCATTGTAGATTCTAGATATTAGCCCTTTGTCAGATGAGCAGACTGCAAAAAGTTTCTCCCATTCTGTAGGTTGCCTGTTCACTCTGATGGTAGTTTCTTTTGCTGTGCAGAAGCTCTTTAGTTTAATTAGATCTCATTTCTCAATTTTGGCTTTTGTTGCCATTGCTCTTGTTTTAGACATGAAGTCCTTGCCCATGCCTATGTCCTGAATGGTAATGCCTAGGTTTTCTCCTAGGATTTTTATGGTTTTAGGTCTAACATTTAAGTCTTTAATCCATCTTGAATTAACTTTTGTATAAGGTGTAAGGAAGGGATCCAGTTTCAGCTTTCTACATACGGCTAGCCAGTTTTCCCAGCACCATTTATTAAATAGGGAATCCTTTCCCCATTTCTTGTTTTTGTCAGGTTTGTCAAAGATCAGATGGTTGTAGAGCTATCTATGACAAACCCACAGCCAATATCATACTGAATGGGCAAAAACTGGAAGCATTCCCTTTGAAAACTGGCACAAGACAGGGATGCCCTCTCTCACCACTCATATTCAACATAGTGTTGGAAGTTCTGGCCAGGGCAATCAGGCAGGACAAGGAAATAAAGGGTATTCAATTGGGAAAAGAGGAAGTCAAATTGTCCCTGTTTGCAGATGACATGATTGTATATCTAGAAAACCCCATCGTCTCAGCCCAAAAACTCCTTAAGCTGATAGGCAACTTCAGCAGTCTCAGGATACAAAATCAATGTGCAAAAATCACAAGGATTCTTACACACCAGTAACAGACAAACAGAGAGACAAATCATGGGTGAACTCCCATTCACAATTGCTTCAAAGAGAATAAAATACCTAGGAATCCAACTTACAAGGGATGTGAAGGAGCTCTTCAAGGAGAACTACAAACCACTGCTCAATGAAATAAAAGAGGATACAAACAAATGGAAGAACATTCCATGCTCATGGGTAGGAAGAATCAATATCGTGAAAATGGCCATACTGCCCAAGGTAATTTATAGATTCAGTGCCATCCCCATCAAGCTACCAATGACTTTCTTCACAGAATTGGAAAAAACTACTTTAAAGTTCATATGGAACCAAAAAAGAGCCCGCATCGCCAAGTCAATTCCTAAGCCAAAAGAACAAAGCTGGAGGCATCATGCTACCTGACTTCAAACTATACTACAAGGGTACAGTAACCAAAACAGCATGGTACTGGTACCAAAACAGAGATACAGACCAATGGAACAGAATAGAGCCCTCAGAAACAATGCCACATATCTACAGACTTCACTTTCAAAACACGAGTTTAAAGACAAAATTCATAAGCATTTCAAGACTGTAACCACAGAGCGTACAACCAAGCACAGAAGCCTTCTGGCCTCTGGGTGCTGTATGACTACCCAGGTCGGACACTCATGAAGCCAGCCTTGGTTCCAGCTTTTTCAAATGACTTCTTGTTTTCACAGCCCTAAGACAAGTATTTGTCAAATAAACAAAGGAACACTTACTTTGTTCCAGACATGGTGCTTGCCATTTAATCCTCAAACAACCATGAGATGAATCCTATTCTTATCTAATGTTATAAAATCTGAGGCTTACAAAGCTTAAGTTATTTATATAAGGTTATAGAGATTATAAGTAGCAGAACCAGAATTTGAACCCAGGTAGTTCTTTCTCTTTAAATATAATAAAGGAGACAATTTAAACCTGGTCTTTACAGGGGTAATGAAAATAAGGAGTTGAGATCTGAATCAGCATTGTGAAATAAAGCCTATATAGTTTACTAAAACAATTTATGGCAACTTTGAATAATATAGAGATAAATGTATGATTTCAGTGTCAATGGCCAACCCTCTTTACCGAATCTCTTAGGCAAAGGATGATGCATCCACTAAGCTCTGGAATAGACTTTTTCTTTCACTGACCTGCCACTCACTCTTTTTTTGGGCCCATAATGAAATGTGTCCTAGCCAGATCTACCCTTTCCATGTTCCCTGCTGGATAGATCCACTGCTGAGAAGTCTAAGTATCCTTCAACAATTGCTCACGTTTTAAAGTACAGAATTTTCTTCAAATAAAGTCCTCCAGCTGTAGCTATTTCTACCACTGAACAAATGCTGACATTGAAGGGGTGCAGCTTGCTTCCAGAGATTGCCCTGCCAAATATGTCTGGCAAAGCTGCCCGGGAATATCTTCTTGATCTACACGCAGAAGTGATGGGAGCCATTTCAATTCTTAACTTTCTACAAGGAGAATAAAACTTCTGTTCTGAGTGCCACCTCCACAGAGCTTCCTGAGCCACGTGACATACCATTATTCTCTAGGAACCTCCCAGGCCCCATCTATTCACCAAGCTCTATCAGCAGAGGGAGCTTAAGCTGTCACCAGGGGCCACACTTGGGACTTGCGTTTTAACTATTTCATGACTTTTTGGGGTGAGGGTATGTCTCTGAGTTTAGCAACTGGCTAAAAAATAATTTTATTTGTTTAAAATATTGATTATTAACCCTTCCTTTCTCCTCCTCCCCAAATAATTTAGCCTTTCCATATTGCCTGACTTACACAGTCGTGAAAACTTCTTGCCATTTGAAAATGCATGACAAAACCCATAATAATGTGGGAAGACATTCCTTTGAGAATGGATTTGGGAATCAAGACAGATGGAAAGAAGAGGGTTTAGAAATAAGTTAGGAAATGGGGTTGACCACAATGGATATACACACCCATATAGTTAGTCATAAACTATAGTTTTCGTTTGAAAGGCAATAGAGTCCTCATGAGTGTCTTGGGAGAAGGTAGTGATACAGTGATTCAAGATTTTGTTAGCAGAGTGAATTGGCTAAAGGACAGAGAGCTTAGAGGTTGGAAGACCAGAAAAAAACAAAATAAAACAAACAAAAAAACCACCACACAGCCAGATTTACCCCTCCCCCTCCAAAAAAAACCAAAAACAGGTGGCACAAGCCAATGTGAAGCACAAATGAGTATAGTATTCTTTTAAATAAAGGCCAAATCAATATGTTTTGAAATATGAGATGTGGTGAGGCACCTACTCTTTGACACCTTCCAGTGTTGGTAATGCCATTTGCAGTCTATGAAACTAATAAAGCGTTTCAGATCTGTCCATTCAGTGCTGGCATTAACACACAGGGAAATAGTCAAGGCAAAATGAAAACACAAAGGAACTACTGTAAAAATATTGTATTATTTGGATTCAGTCACCACCAATTTTGCCAAATCCCTGAAGATTTCCATTGTCCTGCATAGCAGGGATAAAGGAAAATATAGGGGTGGATGCCAAATTATTTAAGTTGAATGTTTTCCAATTTATTTTTCATGAAATGTCAGTAGTTCTTTAAAACACAGTTCGTAGTATTGCCATATTTTTGTTTTCTTCGTATGTGTTGAAGAAGTATACAGATTTCAGCCTCTGCCTTAGTTTTAAAAGTCATCATTCTCAAGGAACTGGTTTCATTTGTGAATATGCTGAAGCCCAAAAGAATGAAAAACAACAAATACTGGTGTGAAATGACGCTTTAAATGCATGGGTGCCAGATGGAAAAGCTTTTGGTCTATTCCTATATTTGATCAATTGGCTTGTCTAATACATTTGACTACGGACGGATGGCCTGACATGACTTCAGATTAGTTTAATAGGGATTAAGGTGGCAAGAAGTGTATAATGCTATGCATTTGTAAGTACAAACATGCTTAGAAATTCATTTATCTTTGGGGGGTGATGGAGGTTAGTTCAAGCTCCAGCTATATTTACAAACAGATTCTAGCCACAGCTGAACAGTGTGGACTTGGGGAAAGTAACTGTGCCTGCCTTTCCTTAAGCCCACAAGGCCTTTTGATTTCTGCCCAAATAAAGCAGGCCTTTGGCATTCAGCTCTCTTAGCTGGCAAGATGTCTGCATAATGTCTGCAGAATTTAGAATGGCCAGGAGGGGCAGGTCAAAGACAGCCAAATTATGATATCATACCCATAAAACCTCATCAATGGTGACATACAGAAAACACTCAGTAAATTGCTTTCATTAATTTATCCTTATTAAGAAATTCTAAGCAGTGTCTTCATTCTTTGGCAGATTTCTGATTCTGCCATTTTCCCTTCCTTCCTTCATTGCTTTTCCTTAACAAAAACAAGCAACCATGGGCACAGAGTGACAGTAGCTGAAGAGATGTGGCCTGGGGTAGCCTAGGATGCTCAGACTGACTGAGAAGAATGTTTTATAAATGCTCTACTTGCCTTTGGGAGAGCCAAAGACTTTTCTGAATCTTCTGGTCTGGGTTAGGATGAGAGTTATTCCTGCAGTTAAGTAAAAGGAAACCTGACTATAGAGAATTCTGTGCCTCCCTTCTCTGAGGACAAGAACGGGGGCACTGAGGGACCAGCTGCACAGACCCTGGCTTGGCCTTGGGTTGCAGTGACCAGACTCCATTGGACAGAGGGAGTAGGGATGGTTGTGAGGCTGTCAGGGCAGATGCAGGATCAGGAAGAGTGGGATATGCAATTGAAAGTAGGCCCAGTTTTTCTTTGGATCACACCATGTTTCTAAAGCTGAAAATCTCGCTAGTCTACAAAAATGACATCAGGAGAAACTGAGGGAAGTGAGAAGAACCAACGTGAAGCATTTCCTTGTAACTGACCCTGTTGGGAGTTGACAGTATCATCCATGTTGGGGAAGATATTCCCAAGTCTCATCAGCTGTCTTGTTTGGTTGCCTGACTGGGGTCTTGGAAGCTTGACCCAAAGGCATTACTCAGGGAGTGGAATTCATAAGTCATTCCAGTGTCTTATGGCAGAGAAGTTTTGCATATAGACCAGCAATGAGAGAAGGATAGTATGATAAAGCTAAGACCAAGAGAGACAGAAAGAACAACAAAAAAATACCAAAAAGAAGATTTATCAGGGTATGTTTAAGATGGGAATGCATAGAGAAAATATTTTGAATATGAGAGAGAGGATAAAAGATTCTGCATTGTTTCACAGGCAAATTTTAAAACAGCAGAGATATAACTGTATACTACAGATAAATCCTTGTTATTTTGTGTTCTTTTCTTACTGTGCTAACTTTTATTTCTGATTGTGGTATGCTTAGGAACATTCAAGGTCTCAAATATATTTTAATTCCTTTAGTTATCATAGGAACTGACTGAACTATGGATGCACTGTGGCCTTGCATTCTTGAGGACTTCTATGTTGAATGAACATGTCAGGTGGACCCTTGTTGACGACAGCCATTGATGCATGCTGTGGAACTCTGCGTCCTGACAGACACCTGGGCAGGAAACTTGATAAGGGAAGTACCCAAATTTAGTTGTTACCCACTCCAACAAGAGATGAGGAAACCGAAGATTGCAAAGCATGGCTCAAAGAAGGAAAACAACAGTAAAGATAGCAGCTCTTTCTCCCCCTCAATATCCAAATCGTATTGCTTTGGCAAAATTGTTGCCTGGAGAAGCAGTCCTGCATCAGGGTAACAAATAGACAATTATGACGCTCAGCCAGATTCCTTGTGAATGAACCAAACTCGAACTGTGCTATAATTTGTTGAAGATACCAAGGTCTTGACTGTTTTTGACATTACCATATGAAGACTTAAACACATCTATGTTAATTTCATCTAGGTAAAGAGTTATGGTATTCAATAATGGGAAATAGGGTCAAGAAATAAAGAAGGGACACACTGGCATTTAAAACAAAACAAGACAAACAAACAAATACGAATACATAATTGAAAGAAAGGCACCTTGAGGAGAGTGCTTGACAAGAAATCAGGACCTGTGAAGTTGAGTGCAGACTCCATTGCTGAACAGCTGTATAGGAAGGAACTAGCTGACCTCTAAGTTCCCTTTTAGCTCTGCATTTCTATGATTCTGATTCATTTTCCTAGGAAATACAGTTCCAGTCTCAAGAGCACTGAACATCCATGAAGAGCGGTGAGTCTGATTTATTTTAGTCATGGAAGAGACCTGCTATTCTGTATCGATAATTATATGGGATTCCTTTTGTGCATGCCAATTTTATTATCTTCAAAACTAAACTTGTGGGTTCATAATTTGTTGGAAAGTTCAAATGTAAGATGATGAACTGCTTAGGTGTTTTATTCCCTGCCCCACCTCACCCCCAAGTAAGAATGACAAATCCATTTCCTGGTGCCGTCTCCTATTATTTCTTCCCTCTGGCAGGTTAGATCTGTTGTCAGTTTCAGAAGCAGAGATTTGATGTAACTTAGGTAGTATGTTGAGATTTTCTGCTCAGCCCTCTTCTTAAACAAACAAATGAAAATCTTTGCAAGGTTGTGTGAGCTAATGTAACAATGTTTTTCATTTTTGTACTTCTATTTTTCCTCTGTGGTGGTAGAGAAAATTAAATTAGAGAGTTCTGGGTTAAAGGCTCTCAGGTTTACAAGTAATAGTACGTTCTGTTCAACAGTTTAAGCACATTTAAGTAAAATGAAAGGAAATGAAAATGAATTACAGGCTAAAAGCAAGATCTTGGCTTCCAGGAGCCTCTCAACTGATGGTTCCAGGTATCACTGAAATAGAAACGCTGCCAGAAGAGGTACTAAACATGAACAAGGGCACACTGCAATTCTTGCCTCTCAAGAGGAATGCAAAATGGTCTTGCTATGGTTGATGTAAATATGTGTAAAACAACAATTACAGAACACCTAACCTTTAAATACCTTTGGAAAGCTCTGTATGTTGATTGAATAGGGACTTTGATAAAAATGACAGTTTGTCACCACTCTCTCAAGAGAAGTATAAAATAAAAATCATGTGTGGTGTATGTGTTTGTGTGTGTGTGTGTGTGCACATGTGTAGGTGGAGATGAGATATTCCTACACTGGCTTTCTTGATGTGAATCAGTATGTTAACATTTCACCTGTCTAAATTTTATAAGGGCTCCATCTCTAGACGAAACAAAAGCAGTATCAACTATGACTTTGGACCTGTTTGTGTTTATATACGGGTTGTCCCGTCAGTGTGGTCTGTCTAGTAAGGCCTGTCTTATCTACAGAAGAATTGTTCTCCAAGATCATTTGCTCTGTACTGCCCAAATATTTAGTATGTATTTAGGTAACAGTTCTGGGATACCGATGGGATGCAGTATCTGAAGATGACTGATACGGTTTGACTGTGTGCCCACCCAAATCTCATCTTGAATTCCCATGTGTTGTGGGGCGGACCCAGTGGGAGGTAATTGAATCATGGGGGCACTTCTTTCCTGTGCTGCTCTTCTGATCGTGAATGAGTCTCACGAGATCTGATGGTTTTAATAATGGGCATTTCCCTGGGCAAGCTCTCTCTTCTCTTTGCCTTCCACCATGATTGTGAGTCCTCCCTAGCCATGCAGAAGTGTAAGTCCATTAAACTTCTTTTTCTTTCCAGTCTTGGGTATGTCTTTATCAGCAGCATGAAAACAGGTTAACACAGTAAATTGGTATCAGCAGAGTGGTGTATTGCTAAAAGGATACCTGAAAATGTGGAAGCAACTTTGGCACTGGGTAACAGGTAGAGGTTGGAACATTTTGGAGGGCTCAGAAGAAGACAGGAAAATGTGGGAAAGTTTGGAACTTCATAGAGACTTGTTGAATGGCTTTGACAGGAATACTGATAGTGATATGAACAATAAAGTCCAGGTTGAGGTGGTCTCAGATGGAGATGAGGAACTTATTGGGAACTAGAGCAAAGGTGACTCTTGTTATGTTTGGGCAAAGAGACTGGTGCCATTTTGCCCCTGCCCTAGAGATTTGTGACACTTTGAACTTGACGGAGATGATTTAGGGTATCTGGTGGAAGAAATTTCTAAGCAGCAAAACATTCAAGAGATGACTTGGGTGCTGTTAAAGGCATTCAGTTTTATAAAGGAAGCAGAGCATAAGAATTTGGAAAATTTGCAGCCTGACAATGTGATAGAAAAGAAAATCCCATTTTCTGAGGAGAAATCCAAACCAGATGCAGAAATTTGCATAAGTAATGAGCTGAATGTTAATCCCCGAGACAATGGGGAAAATATCTCCAGGGCATGTTAGAGGTCTTCACTGCAGCCCCTTCCATCATGGACTTGGAGGCCTAGTAAGAACAATGGTTTCATGGGCCCAGGGTCCTTGTGCTGTGTGCAGCCTAGGGACTTGGTGTCCTGAGTACCAGCCACTCCAGCCACGGCTGAAGGGGGCCAATGTAGAGCTCTGGCCATTGCTTCAGAGGGTACAAACCCCAAGACTTGGCAACTTCCATGTGGTGTTGAGCCTGCAAATGCAGAGGAGTCAAGAATTGTGGTTTGGGAACATCTGCCTAGATTTCAGAGGATATGGAAATGCCTTGATGCCCAGGCAGAAGTTTACTGCAGTGGCAGGGCCCTCATGGAGAATCTGCTAAGGCAGTGTATCGGGGGAACCTGTTCAGGGTCCCTGACTTCCCACAACAGCAGTGATAAAGAGAAATGTGGGGTGGGAGCGCCCACAGAGTCCCTACTGAGGCATCATCTAGTGGAGCTGTGAGAAGAGGGCCACCAACCTCTAGACCCCAGAATGGTAGATCCACTGACAGCTTGTGCCATATGCCTGGAAAAGCTGCAGACACTCAATGCCAGCCCATGAAAGCAGCAACTTGCTTTTGATTACACCCTGCAAAGCCACAGGGGCAGAGGTGCCCAAGGCCATGGGAGCCCACCTCTTGCATCAGCAAGACCTGGATGTGAGACGTGGAGTCACAGGAAATCATTTTGGAGCCTTAAGATTTGACTGTTCTCCTAAATTTCAGACTAGCATGGGGCCTGTAGCCCCTTTGTTTTGGCCAATATCTCCCATTTGGAATGGCTGCATTTACTCAATGCCTGTACCCTCATTGTATCTAGGAAGTAACTAACCTGCTTTTGATTTTACAGGCTCACAGATGGAAGGAACTTGCCTTGTTTCAGATGAGACTTTGGATGGTGGACATTTGAGTTAATGCTGAAATGAGTTAAGACTTTGGGCAATTGTCATATACACCATGGAATACTATGCAGCCATAAAAAATGATGAGTTCATGTCCTTTGTAGGGACATGGATGAAATTGGAAATCATCATTCTCAGTAAACTATCGCAAGGACAAAAAACCAAACACTGCATGTTCTCACTCATAGATGGGAATTGAACAATGAGAACACATGGACACAGGAAGGGGAACATCACACTCTGGGGACTGTTGTGGTGTGGGGGGAGAGGGGAGGGATAGCATTAGGAGATATACCTAATGCTAAATGACGAGTTAATGAGTGCAGCACAACAGCATGGCACATGTATACATATGTAACTAACCTGCACATTGTGCACATGTACCCTAAAACTTAAAGTATAATAATAATAATAATAATAATAATAATAATAATAATAATAAAAGACTTTGGGCAATTGTTGGGAAGGCACCATTGGTTTTGAAATGTGAGGACATGAGATTTGGGAGGGGCCAGGAGCAGAATGATGTGGTTTGTCTGTGTCCCCACCCAAATCTCATCTTGAATTCCCATGTGTTCTGGGAGGGGACCCAGTGGGAGGTAACTGAATCATGGGGGCACGTCTTTCCTGCACTGTTCTTTTGATAGCAAATGAGTCTCATGAGATCTGATGGTTTTGAAAGGGGGAGTTTCCCCACACAAGCTCTCTCTTCTCCTTGCCTGCCCCCATCCATGAAAGACATGACTTGCTCCTCCTTGCCTTTCACCATGATTGTGAGGCCTCCCCAGCCCTATGGAACTGTGAGTCCAGTTAAACCTCTTTTTCTTCCCAATCTTGGGTATGTCTTTATCAGCAGTGTGAAAAATGGACTAATACAATGACATAAACTCTCACATTTTTATGCACTTGGCTTTTAATCTATGATATCGCTCATTATTTCCATTTGATTCCAGAAGATGAGAGGTGGAGTTGGTTGTGCTAATAAACCCCTGCTTAAGTCCCAGACTCTGAGATGGAAACAGTGGTGCTTGTAGGAATTCTCATTAAAGACCTGATCAAACAGGTTTCATTGACTCATAAGCTGCTGTGTTGTTGCTGGGTGTTGGTCCCTTCCTGGCACTTTTATTATTTCCTTGGCACCTCTAGTATTGTGCTAAAGGTCATCTGAGAGTCAGACAGAAGAATAAATGATGTGAAGAAATTGGAACCAAATGTATTTACTGTACTGGCACCTGTACCACACATTTCTAAGGCCCACACATTTCTAAGGCTGGCAGTTACTCTGAATAACCTATCTTTCTAGATCATTGCCTATTACTTTAACCCCTTATGTCTACCATTCTCTCCTCCCAAAGCAAAAAGGTCAAAGGAACTTAAAGGAATTACTCTTATCAGTTTGAATACCTCGATGAAGACTTTCAACAACGGCAGGTCACCACAAGTAAAACATTGAATTATTTAAAACAGGCAATATGCAAATAAAAGAATAAGATAGTATCTGTTTGAAGTATTTCTCAGAAAAATGTAGCAAAATATTATAATTTTTCTATCTCCTGCTCTCCTATGCACAACTTTCCTGGCTTTAGAAATGTGGATGTCCTCATCTTTTCCAGAAATATCCCATAAAGCTGGATTAAGAGGATGATGTGAGGACAAATGGATGTAGTGACATAAAAAAACCTAGCAGTCAACTTTGGTGGGGGAACTGGAGAGTTAAATTACACAAGAGTAGCTCTCTTTATTAAGTTTTGTACAAAGCCATAATGGAAAGCTAAGAGTGGAAACTGTTTCCATACAGACATGTTTTGGGCATATATTCCCTGATTCATACTCTGCAAATGCAAAAAGAAAATGATAGCTTGTAAGACAATATAACCGGGAGATCCTTCTACTTTCTGACTTTAAACAGGTTAATAAGAATATGTGTCTTTAAATGAAGAAGGCCCACTTCACTTGTATGAATGACATTTGAGGGTCTGAACATCAAAGAAACTAAGAAGTTGAAGGATAGTTGGAAGGGGTGGGTGGAAGGAGGAGGCATATTAAGAAATAAAAATCATAGATATACAAAATTATTATTATTATTATTATTATTATTTTCAAGACAGAGTCTTGCTCTGTTGCCCAGGCTGGAGTGCAGTGGTGTGATCTCAGTTCACTGCAACCTCGGCCTCCTGGGTTCAAGCAATTCTTCTGCCTCAGCCTCCAGAGTAGCTGGGATTACAGGCGTACACCACCACACCCACCTAATTTTTGTATTCTTAGTAGAGAAGGGGTTTCACCATATTGGCCAGGATGGTCTCCAACTCTTGACCTTGTGATCTGCCTGCCTCGGCCTCCCAAAGTGCTGGAATTACAGGCTGAGCCACTGTGCCCAGCACAATATATAAAATTATTTAGGGCCTAATTATTGGTTTTAATACAGCCCCCAAAGAGATTTGGAGAGTACATTAAGATGTGCCCTTTCTTTTATGTAGTAACCTCAGTTTCTATACCTGCAGAGGTGGGGCAGGGGTCAGCTGTGAGCTAGGGTTCTGGGAAACTTGATTACTGGATTGGTATCATGGGCATTTGCTGATCCTGTGTGAGACGGTTTGTTAAATCCCATTCATGTGTCCAAATACATGATTAGGGACTCATAGTAACCACCCCTGTTCACACATCTATCATTCAGACACAAAACAAAATACAAAACACCAAATGTCTCTAGAGTTGAGCCAGATCTTTCTTATCTTTGCACAATCAAGACTTATAAAAGCCTCAGGGAACTGAAATGATTTATGAATGTTCAAAGTTGCTAGACTTTTGACAATTGTTCTTGCTAAAACAAAACTGTTTACATTATCTTGTATTGCCATACAGATTTTGACCAAAATAAAAGTTTGTTTCCAAAAAATAATACTGTTTTCTTGTTATTTTCCGCTTCTATTTAGATATTGCATTAAAAAAACCAACTTTCTTTTTTTTTTTTTTTTCTGTAAAAGCTATTCCAAGTAAGAGTGTTTAGTAGAAACAGAACCTTCTCAATAAAATGTTAGGAAAACCTCTCCTGGTCTGAGTTGCAACCTGCAACCTGTCACCAGGCTGCCCAAATAGATATTTATTACCTTTTAAACTACCAGAGAAAATAGTAGGCTTTAGAATATGTGGATTTGGGCTTGGTCAAAAGAACAGTGTTGATTAAAAAGAGTAGATAAATCTTACTCTTTTGTGGAAATGCCAGGGTCCTGCTACCATTTCTTTTCCTGTCATGTATGTTTTCAAAAAGCAGTTAGCAGAATATCACTGATGTTTACACCCATGAAGAAAATAGCAAGCCAGTGTATTATTTTTTCAAGCATTCATTTGTGGGTAAATTTGTGCCTCATAATCAAAGTGTTGTATTTGCCTTCTTTAATTATGTGATTTCTTAAGAATGCTCAGCTGTCAGATTTTTTTTTTTTTTTCTGGAAATAGAGCCTGGGGAAGGAGAAGACATACTGCAGTGAATTGCAAAAACCAAGAATCACAATTTACATTTTCTTTACTCACTTTTAAGTAAAACCAGAGGTGTGAACTGTGGGTAAGCTAAAAGCATCACTGGCCAATTTTGGTTAAAAACAGACCTTTTTTCTCATCATTATTAATTTAAGGTGATGGGTGTTTCACTCTTTCATGAGATACTGAGGCCCTCAATAAAGAAATAATCACATCTGCTTAATGTCTGATTTAGCACCTTGTCAGTCTTAAATGAGAGAGTGTAAGCACCAAGAAAATCTCTAGACCCGTCTTGATGTCATTGGCAACAACATTACTCTTTCATATTTTACTTAAAATATTCAGTATCTTTAGGCATTCTTGTCCAGTGTTTGTGGGATTATAAACTGGTGTAAGCAAGAAAGTAGCTTGGTAACATGCTGTAAGAATCGTAAAACCGTAGCTCTTGAATTAGTCATTTCTCTTTTTAGAATATAACACAAGAAAAAATACCCGATATAGAATAAATAAACCAATATGTTGATTTTCATGTAACCCAAAGATCCCCAGGTCCTTCAACTATCTGTGATTACCCAGAGTTTTAATACGCAAGTTAAATAAGCCAAGCTTTTTTCACCCATATTAACTGCAGAAAGTCCCAGTGACTTTTCAAAATGCGTAAATCGCGGAATTAGGTGGGGACAAGAGATACTTATACCACCTTGTCTCTGCTATAACTTGCTCTAAAGCCCTGTAGCAGGCCTTTCCTTAATCCCTATGACATCTCAGTTCTGCCTCTGTATGTCACGTAAGCTTCACTGGTTCATTTTCATGCCTTTTCCATCATTTTTCCAGCATTTAGAATTTAGAGTGGTGGAAAGGATTTACAATGCAAGATAGAAAATTACTTAAAAATGCATGGGCCGCATCCATGCTGTTAGAGTTTGTTGACCATCCAGGAGTTGTTTCCTGGCTGAGTCTCTCCTTGGGCTCTGCACTGCGGCCATGTTGATGAGCCCTGGTCTCTTCTTTCAAAGCCTCCTTCCCTGTCCTTTTTTCCTTGAGTCCTAGCAAGTTCACCCTCCTGGATTCCTTCCCCCAGTCTCAACACTTTTCTCTGATGACCACAGAGAGCTGCTCCAAATCATTTTTTATTTCAAAACCCTTTCCTTTAGAGGAAATGTACTTTCACTTTATTTTGCAGAGTTGTTTAGATTCCTTAATTTTGACATCCCATTCTAAACTTTGCTCTGGACCTGCCTTAGTTTTTAAACCGAAGGACTTTTAAATATTTTGTTCAAACATAAGAGTCATTTTTTTTTTGTCTAAAGTTGTATTCTATTCTCACTCCTCCTTGCAAATTAATAAAAAATAATATTTTTCCCCTGATGTTCTGATAACTACATAACACTAAAAGTAATCTGAAAAAAAAATTAGTATCCTCTAAAAAGGAATATGATTTGGAAAATTATAGTCTGTTCATAGAATAAAATAATAGCTTTTAATTATAAATTATATTCATAAAATGTTTGGCTTATATGTCACAATTTTAAATGACATAACATTATAACCCATATAATTTTGACAATGTAAAAGTACTTAAAATTAAGCAGAAGGAAATGTACTAAAATATTAAAGTATCTATTTTGGATGGTGGAGTTATGAGTGATTTTTATATTCTTTTAATTTTTTTAATTAGCTTCCAGTTTGTCTGTAATAAGCATATATTACTTTAATTACTTAAAAATAAAACTTATTGCAAATTTTCAGAAATTTGGATTTAAAACCTGTAGACTTTTAGAAAAAAAAGTTTTTTCTCTATTCTCCTTATATTGTTCACTTTCTATTCACAATGGTGGTATTAGGCTAGTCAACATGAACCCAAATATGGTTAATGATCTGGGATGAATGGTGGGGCTGGTAACAAAAGAACTTAGGTTAGTAACTATTTAGCTTAGTAGAAAAAAATGATGAAAAGCCAGTGTTCTCTAGGGATATGCTTTTTTTTTCTTTTCCTGTTTTTTTTTTTTTTTTTTTTTGCTGGGGGGTGGTTGGGAAGTGGGTGTGATTTCCCAATAAAAACCAGAAAACCTACTAGAAAAATTGTACAAGAGCTGTAACATTTAGGGACATCCATTTTGAAAAGCATTCAGAGGGAGTATTATTAGTTAACTACTGAGAAGCTGTCATGTACCTATAACCCTCTAAACTGCTAACCTGGCCCTAGATTAGAAACCAATTACAATAATCTCACATAGTCTAGTCATGTTCTGGGGCAATACAGGCAAACACTCAATTCTTCCATGCTTACTCATACATAAACTAGAGCCCCTGAATTTTATATAGTTAATGCCATCTGTTATAATTAAATTTTCTCTCACCTGACATCTCGGGCTGCCGTGCAACCACACACTACATGTTTCACCAGACTTACGGAGAAATTCCCATTGAGATCTGTAAACAAATCTCTTATGTCTTGTGTAGCAAGTTGAGTCTTGTGAAATATGACTGGCTTTTAAACCCTTCTCATAGCCCCCACTGGTTGCAGCTACAAACATATTATTCTCATGGTTTAACACCTTCATAAAGTCATGCATTGGATTGGGGCAATTCTCCCATCACCTGAATATACTATATCAAAATCAATAATTACAGGCAACCCATTGATTGCAAAAGGCATAAATGTGCAATGAGACATATTGGAGCACCAGAACTCTTACAGAGTAGACACATATTACAGGCAATTGTGTTCTCCTTCAGATGGATTTTGTGTGTGGGTGTGATATACTCAGATATAACTACTGTTGAATTATAGTTGTGTACACTTTCCCAAATGATTCAAATGCCCTTAACAATAAGTCATGTAAAGCATCAGGTCCTTTTTTTGTTTGTTTGTTTGTTTGTTTGTTTTCCCAATAAGCAAAAAAAGACCTTCTGTCAAACTTGGGATATCGAATTTGAAATTATGTTTCTCTTATTTCTCTCCATTGGATCCACAGACCCCAGGAATAAGATAGTAGAGAGTTTTTCTAATAAACACATATTTGATGGCTCCCTTCACCCTGCAGTTTGAGATAGCAACCTCCCTACCTTCTGAGCTCTGAGTTATACCTTCTGTCTGAAAATCACAAAGAAAAATAGTCTCTAACTCTGTGTAGCCCATGATAAGGCAAACTTTAAGGGAAATTTCTACCACAAAAGTGTCAGGATTGTTTCAGGGAAGGAGTAGAGTTCAGAATTAAACACACACAAAAAAATGTTACATTACAGGATTGTTTTATACAAATTTTTTGCTATTTTTTTCATTAGAGAAGGTAATATAACTGAAGTATACTTCAATCAGTTTAATTTTGAAGAATTAAATTTTAAGAAGAAACTATCTGTACAAGCCCAAATATATGTACCAGATATTTAAACTCTTATGTGTGATTAAACTAAAATAATGGAATAATTGCTCTGCAGGCTTAATTTTAGCATGCATGCTTGCCAGGCAGCTAGCTTCATGACAATAATGGGAGGCCCTCTTGGGTAATGGTTAAGAGCACAGACTCTGGAATTAGATGGCCTGAGTTCAAATCCAGACTCTACCACCAACTAGCTCTGTGACTGTGGGTATATTATTTAATCTCTTTAACCATCAATTTTTCTCAGGAGTAAATGGGAATTATGATATGATCCTATTTACTTCACAAGATTGCTATAAGGATTGAAGGAGAGATAATATGCATAGAACACTTAAACACTGCTTGGTTGATAATAAATGTTTATTAAGACTAGTGGTTGTTAACAACAATGATTACCAATGGGATGTTTGTGAGAGGGAGATAAAAGCTTCACGTTATAAAAACTGACTCCTAGTTCACATGGCCATATGGCTGTTTTCTTTTTGTTCCTAAATATTACCTATGAGCAGCTCACTGTGAATACTCAGATGTTATCTTTGTGTTTGATAAACTGAATTATTTTCTTATTTAGTAATATCAGTAAGATTGAATGGTGAAATCCAGACTGAAATGAAGATTTATTTTCCCACAAGAGCATACCAGCTGTTGTCATCCACAGAATATCAATTGCCAGTATATCCAGGCATCTCACAAAAATGGACAGAACACATCCTCTCCCAGGGCCTCAAGATTACAAAATAAATAAGACAAGGGAACCGCCCTCAAGGAGCTTTTTGTCTGAAGGGAAAATGAGACAAATATCAAATAACTCTGCTATGTGGCAGGAAGAGCTATGATCCTGAAGAAACACAGGGATGAAGTGTGTTGGGAGTTTAAAGGAAGGTGTCATTCCTTCTCTAATCCGTTCATGAAAAAAAGTTCGTGGGAGAGGTAGCATTTGCATGGGGTTTTCAGAGAGCAAGATTTGGGTGTGATGTTAGCAAGAAAATAGAGCAGTTATGGCAACTGCGTTAGCTAATATTATAGTTTTGATGTTTCTAGATCTATGTCTGTGTAAAAAGTTATTTTCTGCATACTTTGTTTGTGGGATAGCTCAAAGTTCAAGGAAATTAGATTCCCCATGCTGCACCTAGTAGAGAGAGACTAGGAGGACTTTCTATGATTGACTGCCTCACCACGAAATTGATTCAAAATGAATCTCAGACATACATGTAAAAATTAAAACTATAAAATTTCTAGAAGAAAAATTTGCAACCTAAGGGCAAAGATTTATCAACACTTATAAACAATATTATATAACACCTAAAAACTTTTGCTCATCAAAAGACATCATTAAGAAAATCAAAACGGCAGTACTACTGAGAGAAGAGAACATCTGTGCTGAATATATAAAGGACTCTTACAATACAATATATAACCCAATTAACAAATGGGCAAGGCCGGTCTCAGTGGCTCACGCCTGTAATCCCAGCACTTTGGGAGGCCACGGCGGGTGGATCACCTGAGGTCAAGAGTTCAAGACCAGCCTGGCCAACATGGTGAAACCCCGTCTCTACTAAAAATACAAAAAAATTAGCTGGGCGTGGTGGTGGGTACCTGTAATCCCAGCTACTTCAGGAGGCTGAGGCAGGAGAATTGCTTGAACCCAGGAGACGGAGGTTGCAGTTAGCCAAGATCGTGCCACTGCACTCCAGCCTGGGTGACGAGCAAAACTCTGTCTCAAAAAAAAGAAAAAAAAAAGGCAAAAGACTCCAACAGATTTTTAAGAAGATATACAAATGTCCAATAAGCATATGAAAAGATGTTCCTTATCAATAGTTAGAAAAAAAAATTTCAATGAACTGCAACTAAAAGTAAAAGAATTGACAATAAGTGGTATTGATGAGGATATGGTACAAGAAATCTCATGCATTGCTGGTGGGAATACAAAATGGTACAGCCACATGGAAAACTAATGGCAGTTTATTATAAAACTAAACACACAAATATCCTATGACATAGAAATTATACTCTTAGGTATTTAACCAAAGGAAATGAAAACATGTCTACGAAAAAGGCTTGTACAAGAATGTACAATTATGATCAGGCATGGTCACTCACACCTGTAATCCCAGCACTTTAGGAGGCTGAGGTGAGCAGATTGCTTGAGCCCAGGGGTTTGAAACCAGACTGGGCAACGTGGGGAAACCCTGTCTCTACAAAAATTATGAAAATTAACCAAGCATGGTGGCATGTGCCTGAAGTCCTAGCTACTTGGAGGGCTGAGGTAGCAGGATCTTTTGGGCCTGGGAGTTCGAGGCCACAGTGAGCCATGATTGTGCCACTGCACTCCAGCCTGGGCAACAGAGTGAGACCCTGAATGAAAAAAAAAAAGGTACAATTAATAGGCTTGATATAATAAATATATTAAAATGTTTCACAGCAGGGAATACATATTTTTTCAAGTACAAATGGAGCATTTATAAAAAATTGATTATATACTACTTAAAAATACCAGTCACAACATAATTTCAAGAAAGGCTAGTATGCTACCTTCTCTGATCACTAGAAAACAATAGTATAAAGTATCTCCCACAACCCACATAAATTTACTAACTTAATCATATACTTATTGGTTAAGGAAGGAAGTAAAATAGATATTAGGAAATAATTACAGTTAACGACAATAAAGCTACATATCAAAACATTTGTGACCCAGTTTAATCCATATTTGTAATTAGTCTACAGCTTTAAGTACATTTATCTAAAAATAAAAATAAAAAATAAATGAGTTAAATTTTCAATTTAAGATGCTACAAAGAGAACCACATAATAAACGAAAGAAAGTTGAGGGGAGGAAATAGTAAAGATAAGAGCATATTTTAATAAAATTGAAAGCAAATAATACCAAGTATCAGCAAAACCAGAAGCTGGTTGTTTAAAAAGATTAATAAAATCGACAAACTTCAATCAATACTGATCTAAAAAAAGGCACAAATCAACAAGATTAGGAATGGAAAGGCGGCAAGTGCAAATGCATTTGAGCCTTAAAACTCCTAAGAAAATATCATGAACAACCTTATTTCAGTAAATTAGAATACTTAGGGAAAGAAATAATTTTCCAGAAAAAATGTTTGTTGTTATTTTTCTTTAGAAGCAGCATAGTATAATGATTAAAAGTGTAGCCTCTGTGTCATATTTCCTGGGCCTGAATCTCAGCTTACTCCTTACTCATGGTGTGATCTTGAGCAAATTAATTAAACTCTCAGCTTTTCCATTTGGAAAATGTGGATAATCATAGCACCTCATAGAGTTGATATAAAGATAAAAATAATAATGATTGTAACATGCAGAGAACACCACCAGGCAAATATTATGTGCTTCATAAATATTTTCTAATATTTGTTGATATTATTTTCAGTGACCAAATCTAACTCAAGAATAGAAGAAAATGAACAAACTAATAGCAACTAAGAATTCGATATTGCCTCCACAGGTCCATTTGCATTGTTTTATAAATGAGTTTTACCAGGCTTTCATATAACAATAATTCTCAGTTTTAATAGACTACTCCAGAGAATTGAAAGAGAGACAAGGTAAATATAACCTTGATAAAGACAACAAAGCACAGGATAAGATCAGTAAAATAAAATAAATTATTAACCAATATCACTTAACAATACAGATGTAAATATATATAAATTAAAAATTGGCAAATTAAAATATATTAAAAACATATCATGGCCAAGCATTCTATGAAAGGAAGGAAGATATAACATTAGCAGAATATAGTAATGTAATACATATTATCTCAATTAATTCAAAAGAAATAAATTGATAACATTTAACACTAATTCATGATAAAAATGCTTTACAAAGCAAGAATAAAGTGAAGCTTTATACAGTTTAACTTTAATTTCTGACAAAGTAGATTTTGATGTGAAAATACATGTTTAGAAATTTGTAGCAAACATCATACTTAGTGTTAAGCTTCTAGAAGCATTCTCATTTAAGAAGCAAATAACAATGCCTGCACTCAACATTTCTATTCAATATTGTCCTAACATCCCAGTCATTATAATAGGGCAAAACAAAGAAGTAAGAATGGTAAGAATTAAAAAGGAAGAGATAGGTTGGGAGCGGGAGCATTGCTTCATGCCTGTAATCCTAGCACTTTGAGAGGCTGAGGCTGGTGGATCATTTGAGCCCAGGAGGTCAAGACCAGCCTGGCAACATGTCGAAGTGCTGTCTTTACAAAAGAATACAAAAAATTAGCTGAGTGTGGCGGTGGTATGTGCCTGTGAGCTGAGCTACTCAGGAGGCTGAGGTGTGAGGATCACTTGAGGCTGGGAGGTCAAGGCTCACGTGAGAGGTTGAAGCTACAGTGAGCCATGTTTTCACCACTGCACTCCAGCTTGGGTGACAGAGGGAGACTCTGTCTCAAAAAAAAAAAAAAAAAAAAGGAAAAGACAAAATATTTTTTCTTAGGCAATATAATTATCATATAATTAGATAATATGCACACTATTACAACTAATATGAATGCTAAATTGTTAGATATGAACCCAACATACTCAACTCAACGGCTTTCTTTTACAATAACCCTTTAGACAATATAATAGAAAAAACTAATTTTTAAGCTACAAAATATTAAAGGCATGTAATACTGAATATCACAAAAATCTCTAAGAATTTATGTAGGAATTACAAAAATTCTTGATAACATAAAAGAAGCTCGTATGTAAAGGAAGACTACATCGTGTTAATTTAAATGTAGACTCAATATTGCAGTGATATAAACTCTAGGCAAGTAATCAATATATTTCAATGCTAGTTCAATAAAAATCTAAGCAGAGTGTTTCATGGAACTAAAACAGCGGTTTCTAAAGTTAATGTAGAAGAGCAAACGGGCAAAAATAGTAAGGAAAATCTAAGGAAGAACAAGTTGGGAGGGGCAAGTCCTAGCAGATAACAAAACTTGGAAAGCTTTGGAAATTAAGACAGTGTGTATTATGCAGAGGCAGACAAATAGGCAAACAGAACAGAATAGAGAGCCAGAAAAATAATCCTTTTATTGATATGTGACAGAGATGACTTTATAAGCCAGTGAGCTAAGCAATAAATGCTGATGGAGAAATTCATAATTCACATAGAATATAGTAATAATGATAGAACCCTATATCAAACCACATACAAAGAGAAAAGATTAATTCTAAGGTGGGGTGGGGAATCTGACCAAAATGTCCAAGGCAAAACTTGAAAACTTTTAAAGAAAATAAGTAATAATATCATCATGATCCTAAGATAATGGAATTAGTTTTTAAAAATAAGGAAGACATTGACAGATCTGAGTAAGTTAAAAAAATAAAAACACAAAAAGAGAACAAGTCTGCATATGAACAGATACCATAAACAAAATGGAAAGGCGTGCCAGAGACTGAGAGATCTTTTCAATATACAAAATGAAAGCAGGATTGAGAAACAGTGAGAAATATTCTTTGGAACTAAATTACCAGAGTTCAAACCAGATTTCACCACTTATAACCTGGACAACTTTGGGTAAGGTATGTAACATCTGTGTGCTTCAGTTCCCTATACACAAACTGAAGATAACAAATCTTCCCATCTTTTAGGGCTATTGTAAAGATCAAATGGGTTAATTAACAGAAGGTGCCCAAAACAAGGCCAGGCATATTATAAGCACTTAATAATGTTAGATATTATGTTATAGAATTAGTGTTAAAATATATAGAGAAATACTAAAAATAAGTAAGAAAAAGACAAATAAATTGAAAAATGGGCAAATATATAGTTTAGCATTTCAAAGAACAGGATACTTAAATGCCCAATAACTATTAGAAAAGATAGTCAAACTTACTAGTGATCAGGTAAATATAAATTACAACTACAAGGAGATACTATTTCATGCTCATGAGATTGTCAAAATTCAAAGTGTAGGGAGGGGTGTAGAGCAATAGAAAACCAACAAACTGCTTGCTAGGAATATAAATTACAGCCAGGGGGCGGTGCTCGCACCTATAATCCCTGCTTTTTGGGAGGCCAAAGAGGGAGAATTACATGAGCCCAGGAGTTTGAGACCAGCCTGGGCAGCAATAGTGAGACTCCATCTCTACAAAAAGTACAAAAATTAGCTGAATGTGGTGGCATGTGCCTGTAGTTTCAGCTACTTGGGAAGTTGAGGTGGGAGGATTACTTGAGCCCCTGAGGTTGAGGCTGCAGTGAACCAAGGTCAGGCCACTGCACTCCAGCCTGGGTGACAGAGCTAGACACTGTTTCTAGAAAAGAACAAAAAAAAAAAAAAAAAAGAAGAAGAGTGGTAAATTGCTACAACCAATTTGGGGAATAATGAATAATTTAACATTATCAAGGAACACTGATGATGCTCATGTTAGATAATCCAGCAATTGTACTCCCAAAATATAAACCATAGGGATTTAGTATGAATGCTGCAAGACACATACAAGAATATTCTTAACAATATCATTAATGATGGTAAATAACTGGAGGCAACCCAAATGTCTTTCAATAGAGGAATGAATAAATACTGTAATGGTATATTTATATAAAGAAACTCTACATTCAGTACAATGAATGAACAAGAACAAGGGCTATGTCCATCAACATGGATAAATATCAAAAACATAATGTTAATCATAATTAGTAAACTAGGTCCCATGTCTTCTGACTCACTGTAGCACATCACTCCTAAGAATTTCTGTCTTATCTGCATGACCAAATTTATTATTTCAACTGGATTATTCCCATGAGCATACAACTATCTTATATTCCCTTCCAGCTACTATCCCATTTCCTTTATAGTAGAACTCTTTGAAGAGCTGACTAAACTTAATGTTTCCAATTCTTCTACCATTCTCTTGCTTAATATTTGTAAATTCTTATTTTATCAAAAATAGATGCCTCCCAAAATATTATTTGCAAATTTCAATTATTCTTCTTTTATTAATTAAATATTTTCAATAGATAATAGACCCATATTTCAGAAAGTTTAAAATATAAAGATTCTATATGCAGTGAAAACTCTTCCATCTACCCCAATCTCTTTTCTACACAATTTCCACTCTCTTTTCCCAACTATTATTTCTTTCTTGTGTATTAGTTCAGTTTATTTGTATAACACATGAAAATACAAATAAATATTCTTATTTTCCTCTATTTTCAACATAAATGTAGAATATTATGCTGACTGCTGCATAATTCTTTTTTTCAATTAATGATGTGTTTTGGAGGCCATTTCTTATCAGCACAAAATAGATTTTCAATTATTTTTTAACAAGTGTCTAATTTATTTTACCACTTTTCTATTGATGAACATTTCAATTGTTTCCATACTTTTGCATTTACAATGATCCAATCAATGACCTTGTGTATATACTATTTTGTATGTGTGTAGGGATATGTGAATCAATTTCCAGAGGCGGGATTCCTAGGTCAAAGAAAAAAGGCATTTAATTTGTTTTAGATACTGATAAATTTCTTTTCCAAGGGATTGTGACAATTTAAACTTCTAGCAATGTATGAGAGTACCTGCTTCCCCATCACCTCACCAAGAGGTCTTATTATGAAATTTTTAATTTTTTAATTCTTATAGGTAGAAAATGGCAACTAGTTTTAACTTGCATTTTTCTATCTTAAGTTGAATATTTCTTCATATGTTTAAAACTTTGTATTTCTTTTCCTGCAAATTATTTGTTTTTATCCTTTGCCAATTTTTAAAAAAACTGTGTTATTGTTATTATCCATTTCTAGGAGCTCTTTAAATATTGGAGCTAATAAAAGAAGCTACAATAGCCATTCTGTCTGTGACATATTTTTTACTTTTCTATTGCTATTTCTTTGTTTATACTCTTTTTTCCTGCCATGCAGAAGTTTCTTTTTTGTTTTGTAACTTGTTGATATTGTATCTTGGTTAGAAGAACTGGCCCCGCTCAAATTATAAAACAATTTCCCCAATTTTTCTTCTGGTGCTTTTATTGATCTGTTATTTAAAACATTTAAATCTCTGGACCTCTTAGAACTTATGCTTAGAATATGGTATAAGGCTTAGATATAATTTTATTTTATTTTTCCAGATGACTACCAGGTTATTCCATTTTTTTTGAGTATTCCATCTTTTAAAGGCCAAATTTAGGCTACTTCTAGATTTCCTTATTTCTATATATTGATTTATTTGTCTATTTATATACCACTAACACATTGTTTCAATTTAGGGGTTGAGGCTTCAAGTAGATTTTAAAATCTAATCAGGCTAATTCCTCCATTATTGCTCCCCACCTTTTTTTGAGAGTTCCTTCACTATTCTTGTCTATTTTTCCACCCACAGATAGCACAGGTGTCTAGTGCCACAAAAATCTCATGGGTACTTTCTATCAGCAACCCATTACATTTATAAATTAACTTACAGAGAATTAATATCTTTGTTAACACTGAGTTTTTTGATCCAAGAGCTTGGTGTATCATTCATTTCTTTTACATCATTTTGTTTATTTTTTTCTGGCAAGTTTCTTTCATATAATCTTACATATTTCTTTTTATTCCTAGATATCTTGTATTGATTCTATCTTATCTCCCTAAACTGTAAACATTGGGATATGCCAGGGCTTCATTCTTAGCCTTTTCTTTTCTCTTTTCTATCCGTACCTCCTTCTTTGGTTATCTCATCCAGTCTCTTGGTTTTGCACACACGTTAGGGCTGAATTCCAGCTTTAACAGTTTTGCATATTTTTATTGGACCTCCCCCTGAACTCCAGAACTCCAGATATATACCACTGAACACTCCTGGCTGTTTAACAGACATATATATCTAACGCAACATGACTAAAATCAATCTGCAAGTTTTTATCTCTGGGCCTGACTTTTCTCCCAGTCTTCCCCATCACAGTTATTGATAACTCTCTCTTTCCAGTTGTTCAAATCTCGAACCTTGGAGTAATCCTTGACTCCTCTATTTTCCAAACCTCACATCCAATCATCACCAACTTCTGCCAGCTCTTCTTTAAAAACATATCCAGAATCTGACCACTTCTTACCAGCCACCAGCATTTCAGCTTGAATTATGAGATGGCCTCCTAACTGGGTCTTCCTGCTTTCACCATTGCCCTTCCATGGTCTGTTTTCTACATCTCAGCCAGACTAAAACAAATATAATGTAAGTGTTATTACATCACTTCTCTCTTCAAAATCACTCAAAGGTTGTCCACTGCACTCAAAGTAAGAGCCACATCCTTTCAATGGCTACAGGTCCTTTTATAACATAGCTCCTTCCTCCAAATACAACATATCATTGTCATCGTCAACCATCCCAGGTCATTTTCTACCTCAGGGCCTATGCGCATGATGGACCCTCTGTCTGGAATTTTCTTCCTTTTGTTGTCTTCTTGGTTCACACTCTTGGCTTTCAAATTGTGCTCCAGTGTCTCCTTATCAATAAAGTCTTTCCTGAAATCTCTACATAATAACAACCATTGGATAACACATGCCCTCTTTAAGTACTAGGATCTCCTTTATTTTGCCTGATTCTTCTCTGTAATATCTATCACCGTCTGACATATTAGGTTAAGTGTCACTTATTTGTTCATTTTCTGTCTCTTCCTTCTTGAATGTGCTATAAGGGCAATTTACTGGTGATGTTTACTGCTGTATCTTCAGCACTTTGGTTGACCTATAGTAGAAGGTCAATAGATGTTAGTTGAATAAATAAATAAATTGACAATGAATGTGAATTACATAAGTATATATGAAATGTTATATCATTAATATGGAGATTTAAACCGCAAAGTAGTAATCTACAATGCTTAAGGAACAGAAGCACATAAGAAAAGTATAAAAACATCTATAGGCTTTTAAGGAGAGGAAGAAGTCACCAGGAAAGGTACACGATGACACTGGATTATATATATAGTGTTCAACTTCTCAAAAGTAATAAAGAAGCAAATGTGACCTAATGTTAAGATTTGATAAAACTGGGTAGTGAGTACATTATATAGTTCTCTAGTTTTATTGACGCCTTCAAAATATTTCATTTCCTTTTCCAAGAAGAGGAAAACATAGTAATCCATTCAGGTACTATTCAGAAAATATATAGAATCTAAAGATTTTAATGAGTAAGACACATTGAATGATCACAAAATGTATTGCCGAGGAACAGATTGCAGTGATTGGCAAGGACTGACCAGGATTAAAATCTACCTAAATTTATATAACCCAGAGGGTAAAAGATTTTTCCTGGGTCCTTATTTAACTGAAAGCTTAGTAAGAAGAATAATGACTGAAGATGTTATTGATCTCGCCTAGAAAAAGCAGTTTAGTTATAGTTTTAGAGACAATTGTGCCTGTTATTAAAAAAAAACCCACATATATACAACAAATTTTTGATAATTTTTTTCTATGGGTCAAACTTATGCTAGTTACTAGGACTACAGAGCCCAATAAGATGAAAATGGGAAGAAAATCTGGCTTCAAAGAGTTCACAGTCTAGTGGGAAAGATGGACAAATAAACAGTTATAAAACAATGTGCTATAATTGTGCCATGATAGCGATGTGTGGGGTGCCTCGGGGGCAGAGGGCTGTGAGAATGAGCTTCCCACATGTCAATAGAGATCTGTGCTCACAGATAAACCTTACCCAGAGCCATGCTGTCAGCAACTGTGTTCCAAAATCTACCATAATTATTAGTCCTCACTGCCAAATCCAGGGCCTCCCACTAGAATTTATTATACTCCAGGTTTTGCGAGGTTTTAAAAGTAATAAGGCATTTGTTAAACTCAACACATTCGTAGGCAGTTTTTATACTTCAGTTTAAGTGCCACGTGTTAACTTAATCAGGTTCTTTTTTTTTTCTGTGCTTCTAAAATATTCATATCGAACTAAAAGCCAGGAGGTTAGCACCTTGTTTATCAGAACATGGGGCATTCAAAACCAAATGTATTCTCTAAATAATCGACTGATAAGAGATATGGAGAAAAGCCTCTCTCAGGAGATAGCTCTAAAATGATTTTCTCCAACAAAAGTTATTTATGAAATTAGGTAGCCAATTTGTTAGATATTAGGTGGCTCCCTTGTGATGCTCTGAGTTTAGCTATGGGTAAAAGCAAGTGCAACAACAGCTATAAAGGGGTCAATAGGCAAAGAAACCTAAATATATCCACCCAAAGGGTAACAATACACAGAAATGGTTTAAATATTAAAAGATCAATAACAGGATTTTGTTCATGGATTGCTATTAACAAATTTAATATTGTGCTTATATTTGACTAGCTATTATCCTCTTGAATTTATGTCCGTCCTCAGAAAAGAGCACCACAGGACAAAATCCTACTGATTGAGATAATCCATAGCTGTGGCATTACCATTACTGCTCCAAGCCTTCAGGTCTCCTGCTGTCAGGTAAATAGATTTGACAAAAGTGAGGCGGCTTTTACATTGGAAACCATGATAGAAAAAACTTAAGGGTCATTTTTGGGAAGGAGTGCTACCTGTATTGCTTGGAAAGCTTAGTCAAAATGAGAAGTAACAAATTGCTATTCCCTGAACTTGGAAACTTACAAATGAATGTGTGAACTCAAAGTATCTGAGACAGGTCTCAATTTTGCCAAGGTTAAGGATGTGCAGGAGACACAGCCTCAGCAGGTCCTGACGACATGTGCCCAGGGTGGTGGGGCACAGCTTGGTGGTATACATTTTAGGGAGACATGAGACATCAATCAATTTGTGTAAGATGTACATTGGTTGGGTCCAGAAAGGCGGGGCAATTCAAGCAGGGAGGGGCCTCCAGGTCATATGTAGATAAGAGACAACCTTTTGCGTTCTTTTGAGTCTCTGATTAGCTGAATGCACAATTTAATGTGAGAAGTGGGTAGAGGAATAGTCACTTTTGCCTTAGTCTGGCTTAGTGAAACAAGAGGGAAGAAGAAGTCATCAGATGTGCATTTGTCTCACGTGAGCAGAGGAATGACTTTGAGTTCTGTCTGTCCCTTGTCTGCAAATAATTTCCTTGTGGACAAATTGTGAGGGAGGTGTGCAGCTTTTTAAAAATCTTTGTGGCTATCTTATTTAGGAATAAAATGGGAGGCAGGCTTGCCTGACGCAGTTCCCAGCTTGACCTTTCCCTTGGCTTAGTGATTTGAGGGTCCTGCGATTTATTTTCCTTTCAAAAATGGTTTCTGCATTTAGAGATATTTATCTCAATTGTTGTAATGGTCAGCATTTCTCTTATTTTAATCACAATGTTTTTCCTCCACTTAGGCCTAAAGCCTGGAATTTGAGGGAAATAATGTTCCTGAATCCATGTTTTATTTAGGCAAATGACATGGTTAGGCTTTGTGTCTCCATCCAAACTCATCTTAAATTGTGATCTCCATAATCCCCATAATCCCCATGTGTCAAGGGAGAGACCAAGTGGAGGTAATTGAATCATGGGGGTGATTTCTCTCATGCTGTTCTCCTGATAGTGAGTGAGTTCTCCTGAGAGCTGATGGGCCCGTCCCCCTTCGCTCGGCACTTCTCTCTCTCCTGCTGCCATGTGAGAAGGTCTGAATTTGCTTCCCCTTCTGCCATGCTTGTAAGTTTCCTGAGGTCTCCCAGCCACATGAGTCAATTAAACCTCTTTCCTTTATAAAGTACCCAGTCTGTGGTAGTATCTTTATAGCAGTGTGAAAATGGACTAATACAGCAAATGATGCTATCATCTAAGAGGAAAGCTGACAAATCATAATGTTAACACGTGAATCCAAGCCTATCCATGTTAGACAGGAGGAGTTTTAGTAGTTTGTTGGTAAATTCCAGGGTAAATAAGGATCCATTTGGGAATATCCCTTATCTCTGGTAGCAAAAAGTAGAAATGGTGTCATATTTCCAGTTTGTATGCTAGAATAACTGCCTCATGTTTCTGGATAGGGTTTTAACTAAGAGTTGTGAAGAAAAATTTAGGCCTTTGGCGGATAATATATGTAGGAAAAAAACCTCTACCCAATATTTAATCAATTTCATCCTATGAGGTTTATCTTACACACTATTGCCAGGATGGTCTTTTAATACAATTCACCTCATGTCTCAATCTCTGCTCTAAACCATTAAATAAGGCCTTACTACTTACAGAATAATGTCAAAACCCTTAAATATAGCATTGAAGGTCATTCATTGTCTGGCTTCATACTACCTCACCATTCTTAAACACCCTATTTTCTAACTTCTTAAACACCCTATTTTCTGTCTACTCTTGCTTCTTTGAATTTCCCTTAACAGTCTCTGCTTTTCTTACCTGAATAACTCTCTCTTTCCGTATCATAATATTTTTCTCTTCTTATGTACATACTTTAAAATCCAATTCAAATTTGTCTTTATAAACCTTTTCTGATCCTTCTGGTTAAATGTAATCCATCCGACTTTAAATTTTATATATTTAGTCACATTATACATTCTTCTATAATTATTAGAAAATATACTTACATTGTTTTTCATCTCACAGATATTTCTTAAGCACCTACTATGTGCTAGGCAAAATGCTGGTGTTAGACTATGATAGTGAACAACTTCAGAGACCCTATATTTTAGTGGTAGGGATAGACCAAACATAGAAAAAGGGAGCGAGAGGAGAGAGAAGAAAAGAAGCAAATAAATAATGAAATTTTATTGTAAGAAATGCTACAAAAAATCTCCCAACCAAACAAATTAGAACTATCACCGAGGCTGAGGAACTTTAGATACTTCGTCAAGGAAGGCCTCCCTGAGAAGATGAAATTGAAGGTAAGAGGTAGGGATCAGAAGATACAGTTATGGAAGGAGCAGAGGAAGAGCATTCAAGCAGAGGCAAAGATATAAAAAAGCCCAGGGGGAGGAAAGAGCACAAAAGCCCAGGAGGAGAAAAGAGCTTGGCACACCAAGGAAATGAAAGATGATTTTTGTCTAAAGCAAGGGGGAGGGGGGTGTTTAGGGGCTTGGGGTCCACACTAAGAGGTTTGGATTTTTTCATAAGTGCAATGGGAATCCATCTATAGGCTCTAGATGAAGAGGGACGTTTCTGTTTTAAATATGGTAATATAAAAATAATGATCACTGCCTTTGCAGGGGAAAATGGATTTTGAAATTGGGTAGAGTGGGGAAGATTAATTAGAAGGTTGTTGCAAGAGTCCAGTTATGGTATATTGTATTTCCAGATAAATGACCAGACATTACCTTCCATCACACAGCTTTGATCCTCCTTCCATGGGGAGGTGGAGTTGATATTCTCTCCACTTAAACTGAATAATGGCTTAGGACTGCTCCAAACAATAGAGTAGGGTAGACTTGATGCTGTCACTTCATTGCCTAGACAATAAAGAGGATACAACTTCCTCCTTGCTATCTCTCTTTGGGGCATTCATGCTATGGGCAGTCAGCCACCATGCTATAAGGAGGCCCAAATTATGTCGTGTGAAGAGGCCATTTGGAGGGATTCATGTGGAGAGACCCTCATGTAAAGGAAGTGAGACCTCCAGCCCTCAGGCAGTGTCATTCTGCAGGCACCCAAATGAATCTGCCTTCAGATCCTCTCTGCCTTCAGCCTTCAGGTCTTCCAGCTAAAGCTTGGGCATCACGAACAAACACCAACTCTAGTACCCTGTCTGAATTCCTAATTCACAGAATCTGTGAGCATTTTTTTAAAAAGGTTATTTCATGCAACTAACTTTTGGGGTAATTGTGTTTCTTAGAAACCAAAATGAAACAAGTGGTTTTAGAGAAGGTGACAGAAGGCAGATTCATGATATATTTTGGAGTCAGAATCTAAAAGATTTGCTGAGAAAAGGGATGTAGAGAGTGAAGAAGAGGGTATAAAGGATGGCTTTTAGATTTTTGGCTTCAGTGATATAGTGGACAGTAGCTCCATTTACTGGGATCAAGAAGACAAGAGGCTGCAGAGGACAGATTTGAAGGGAGCAAAGCTGATCTTTCTTGCTAGATTTTAAGCTTTTTGAGAGTAAGGAAGAGTTTATGTCCTCCATAGCACAAAGCATAGAGCCTTTTGAGTAGTAAGTACAATAAATATCTCCTAAATTGAACTGTGAAGAAACTACTGCCCATGACTGCCCCAGTGAGATCATTCCTTCTGAAAGAATTTATCTACAATATATATAGATATAAATGAAAATCCATTTTTAACATTTGCATAAAGGGAATTGACATATTACATCAATTAATCACACTTGGCAAGGGAAGGATACATAAATTAACTTGCTGTCTTTTAGACATTGGCTTATATACTGCAAAGTGATATAAGGAACGGGAAAATGTATAGTTAATTTGGCTCTTGGAGACAAGTATATATTAAAACTAGTCATATCAGTCACAAAATGAGGGATTATCATTCCACATTGGTATGCAAACAAAACCTCCATTTTTTTTTCTTTGCTTATGGATAGTTCTAGCTTGTGTTGCATTGACCTTGGCCTTTTATTTGCAGCACAGTTGCTTAGATGTATATTGGCTATAGCTTCTTTATAAAGTGCCAAGTTGAAAATATTTGCTCCAGAGTTTTTGGGAAATTTCCTGATAGATCCAGGACTTCAAATATTCACAGTGTCAGAGTTACCATAGCTGCAGTGGCAGAAGGGCCTCTCTGCAGGGAACTCTTCAGAATAACACCTAAGTGGCTGCTAAGTCCTTCCCAGTTCCCTTAGTTACTGCAGCCTCCAAGAGGAAAAGCCATTTTATCTGCATTCTTGGTGTTTGACACAGTGCTTTATGCAAACTTGCCCACTTTGTAAATACTTTCGCAGAGTCTGGTTTGCCTTTTCTTCCTGGCACCTCAGTTAAGAATTTATTTCCCTTAAAATATTTGCCAATTTCATTTATATTCATAGGGCAAATATGAACTCTTGAGACCTCTCCTCTGGCCACATTATTGGCCTCTGTTTCTGGTGGGGTGAGGAATGCTGTGCTCTGGATGCAATAGCGCATGCCTGAGTGAGGAGAGGCAAATGATTTGCAAATATACCTCTGGGCTTTGCCACTGGGTACAGAGACACTCTCTAAACTATCCCAGAGAAAAGGCTCAGCTCTTCGATGATAAAGATGCTTATGACAAAGATGTCCCTCTTTTGGTGTTTGTTGTTGGCAAGGGAAGTTAATGCAATCAACTCATTTGGCTTGGCTTTTAAAAAGTGATGGTCCTATGTAAGACATTAATGTTTATCCCTTATTAAATGCTGATTCTAATTAAACAAACTCTCTGCCTTGAACAAGAACATTGATTTTCTGTCTAAGATTTTCATCAATAAAATCATGTTGACTGGTGAGGTTGAAGTTAGTTATTAAGTCTTAATATATAGTTGTAGCTTAACTGCCATTATTTTTCAAATAATGTTCAATGACCCATCAGGTTTCTTGAGGTCTTTGGAGTTTTTACCATTCATAATCTTCTATCGTGTTCTCAGGATTATGAGGTACTCCAGGGAGCAAGTACTGGTGGCCAAGTAGGTTTTTATTTTCAACCATGAGAGGAGTTTTCATAAAGGATTGAGCAATCGTCCACCTCTTGGCCTTTGGGGCATTCCTTGGCCAGTGAGTGTAGCACACACAGTGTCTTTTTTCCTTCTTTTCTTACTTTCTTCATGGTGGAAACCTGGTAAAAACTTGAGTGGAGAAGGGAGAGATGAAACCTGTAGCAGCCACATGAGGTACTTGGCTGTCTTGGTGTTACTCCTAACCCCTTTTACGCATCAATGCCACCTTTCAGCTTCTGTAGCATAGCAGCTGGGGGATTCATATAACAAGGACATTGATTTCTTTTTTTTTTCCTTTTGAAATAGGGTCTTGCTCTGTCACTCAGGCTGGAGTGCAGTGGTGTGATCCTTGCTTACTGCAGCCTTGACCTCCCGGGGCTCAAGTGATCCTCCTACCTCGGCACTCCAAGTAGCTGGGACTACAAGCACATGCCACCATGTCCTGCTAATTTTTAAAAAAAAAATTTGCAGAGATAAGGTCTTCTGTTTTCCAGGCTGAAGACATTGATTTTAAACATCTATTTTAAATTTCAAAAACAATTTTTTTTCATTGTAGACATTTGAAATGATACCAAAGTATACATAGATTTAATGTATATATAGATTTTCCCCATCACAACACCTCTACTCTTCCTGCTCCTACTTGGGCTAGTTACTTTTATCAGTTTGACATGTATTTTTTCCAGTGGTCCAGTGGAGCCTTTTAAAATATACACACCCATCTTCATGATGCACATGTGCACATGTACCATATAGACTCATGTATGGCTGCATTGTTATTATCTTGGGGGGTCAAAATTGGATTGTGTAATACAGAGTATGTCCAGCTAGCTTTTAACCCAGTGATATATCATGGACATACTGCGTGTTAGTAATGTTCCATACTAGGCTATACCAAAAGATATTTAAAGAGAACTAGGTTTTTTCTTAAACAAACTAATTAGTATCCAAAATTGTTATTCCCATACACTAACTCCACTGGAATGTGAATTATTTGCATTCTCAATGTGCAACCTTTCTAAAAATATACCTTTTTTTTTTTTTGGCGGCGGGGATAGGTTCACTCTTTCTCATTTGTTTTTAGAGCCAGCTTAGAAAATCTATCTCTTTGCTTTGGGATCTCAGAGCAAATGGGGCATGTATTTTTGGTTTTACGTATATAGTAGTTAAAAAAAGAGAGCCCATTGTGGAAAGTGGAATTCTATTGTAGCCCTCAAGATTCCCACCCTTAGTACATATACCTGCATAATCCTCTCACCTGGAGTGTGAGTGATTTGTGATTATGATGGAATTTCAATCTAGGGATTAGATTATGTTATATGGGAAAGATGTAATTAAGGTCCCTAATCAGTTAACTTTGAATTAATCAAAAGGGAGATTATCTCAGGTAAGCCTGAAACAATCAAATAGCTCATTTAAATCTCAGTCTAGAAGTCAGAAACAGAAGATGTCAGACATATTCAAAGCTGTACATGTTCTCCTATTGGCCTTGACTGAGCAAACTGCCCCGTTGTAGAGAGGACCATACAGCAGGGGATGTCAAGCAGCCTGTGAGCTGAGAGCAAATTCTGGAAGACAGCCAGCAAAAATGGTGGGACCTCAGTCATATGCCCTGAAGGAACTGAATTGAGCCAACAGCCAGTGAGCTTGGAAGAGGACCTAGAGCTGAGACTGTTTTGTAGTCCTGGCCAGCATCTTGATTTCAGCTTGGTGAGATGCAGAGAAGATTCAGCTAACTCATGTAAGCTTTGACCCACAAGAACTGTGAGATAATAAAGTCGTATTATTTTAAGTTGCCAAGTGTAGTGGGTTGAATTGTGGCTGCCAAAAATATGTCTACTTGACCCTCAGAATCTGCTTTTATTCAGAAATAGGATCTTTGCATGTAATTAAGGTAAGGATCTCAAGATGAGATGATCCTGAATGAGTGTGGGCAGAGAAGGTGATAACAGAACAGACAGAAAGAAGAAGGCTTTGTGAAGGAGGAGGCAGGGAATGGAGCTGTGCATCCCCAAGCCAAGGAGCAGCAATGGCTGCTGGCAGTCACCAGACACTGAAGACAATCATGGAATGGTTTCTCCTGCAGAATCTCCAAAGGGAACCAACTCTACTGACACCTTGGTTTGGAATTTCTGCCTTCTGGAACTATGAGAAGATGAATTTCTATTGTTTTAAGCTTTTGTGGTAATTTAAGTTTGTGGCAATTTGTCATATATAAATAGAAAAGTAATACTCAATATTAAAATGCCAGATTTTGTTCCCTCTTTATCAAGATCACAGATGCATCTCACATGGCAATAACTGGCTAGGGAGGCAACCCTTGCTGTTTCCTTGGGTATGAGTGCTCTGGTCCTTTCCATGGGCCACAACACTCTTGTAATGTTGTCAAGCACAGTTATACCTGGTCTGCTTCTTTATCTTCCTGGCCCTTATAGGCATTTGCAGTTTGACCTTTGCTTTACAGCTTCACATTTTTTAAACCTCAAACAATATAATGCATTTATTAGCACTTGATTTCTTCTCAGGATTGAAAACACTCCCCAGCAGCATTGAAGATACTCAGAAGAGAACACTGTAGATGATAAAGAGAATTCTAAGGTAGTTCCAAAACTGTGTTGTACAGAGGAATCTTTTCAGAGCAGCTATGGCCAAACCCACCCTACACTGTCCATGAGATGAGGTGGCTCTTTGCACTATAGACTTACTTATTTTTCAGTACAGAATGTTAATAATTTTCTAAAATTTATGTTACTGTTTCCTGCCCCTAAGCTATCATACCATAACAGAATATAGCATAATCCTAATTTTAGTGGAAACTGAACTTGTCAAAGACAAGCTGATCTTTCAAAGATACCTTCTGGGTGAATCCACTTTGAGTTAGGTTCATAGTTCCTATTCTGGAGTCTGCTGAGTCTAGTTTCTCCCTTTCATACCTGGGTCGGTGACAAGATGCAAAATACCCCCTCTGTTTCTGCAGAATGGGTTTCTCCTTTGTGAAAATGATTCCTGGCTGAAGCATATGCTGAGCCTCAGGGTCTCCATTTCTTCCTGCCTCCAGCAGTAGAGTGCAACTTACACCTGTCACTCACTCAAAAGGCCAAAAATTCACCCATGGTTTCAATATTTGTTTTTCTGCCAATAGTGAGCATCATTTACTAAAACAGTTAAAAAGAGATGTCCAAAAGCATTTTCAATGCTGAAAAGTGTTTTCAAGTCCTCTTAAGGGCAAACTAACTAGTATAGTGGAGAACCAACATTTTTGAGGAGTTCACAAAGTTCCGAGGGAAAATGATGGTATTTAATAATTATGATAGGGAATAGAATTCTTTTTAGTTTGAATTTTAAAGTGAGTGGAGAATAAAAGCTGAGCCACTGTCACTTAGGGACGTATGAGTATCCAAAAGTTGTGTTTTGATGGTAGCTGTGATTGAATATCAATAAGAATTCCAAGTTCAGGTTCACTGCTTCAAACACTCTTACTGTTTGCTACTAATCCAGCACTGGAGGGTGGGCAAGCCTATGTCTGGCAAACAAGACATTGCTGTTTTTCCCAAGTCCCCTGCAGCTTGTTGTAAGTAGGTTTGTCTCATGATCAACAATACCTTGTTCAGTAACTATTGAGTGTTCTCTGGGTGCCTAGATTTGTGTGAAGGCATTTTATTTGTAAGATTGATTTTGTCACTTATTTCATTTTTCTTAAGGAAAAGGAATCTCTGCTATTATTCTTCATGAAATACAAATAATTATACTTAATTTACTGTCTTCTCAATTTGAGCTGGAAAAGGAATAGAAATATATATATTACACTATCTCCCAAATAATCCATCCCTAAATATGTCATCTTAAATTTATTACATTTCTGAGCTGATTGGCTCTTCTCTTAGGGCCATTGAATAAACTGGTCTTCTTTGTCCTTGTGTCTGTCTTTTAAAAGTTTCAGATTTCATCTCCACTTTGAACTTGCAGCTTTCTTAATGGGATTACAAAGGAAAGGGTCAGGCCCGAGAGCAAAAGAGTGCAAACAGGTGAGGACGTTGGAGACAGAGATTTAAATGGAAATGAAAGTAATAAATTTGTCAAATACATTTGACACATATATTAGACAAAGACATCTATTTCTAAAGCTTTTCAGAGGACTTCTGTGTAGCGCCCATGGTACGTCAGTTTGTTGACAAAGAAAACAGAAAGTAAAATATTTGTGAGGTTTGTTAGGAGAGTGGCTAAGGTAACTACTTCTCACCTCAAGACAACAGCAAAATTCAATCGTGTTGTGATGCAGAAGAGTTGGGTATTATTTTTTTCCCCTTTTTCACTTATTTTAGAAATTTTATTCATTCTGTCAATTGAGAAAGAGAGATGTAAAATATTCAATTTGGGAAATCTTAGAAGAATGTTCTAAATTTTTTACTTTAAAATTTTACAGGTTTGGCTGTGGATTAAAGACAAATTTAAACAGTCTCCTGTTCTAACCCTTTCTGTGTTCAAATTTTCTGCATTATCTTGACTCTTTGGAATTTTATTTATTCATCATTCAAAAGTAAAGACAAACGATGCAGTGAACAAGGAATCATTTTCTTTTGTGGGTGTTTCATTTTTGGCTTCTTAGAACAGTACTGGGGCCAATACTAATTAGTTGTCATTGTTTGTTTTCATTCTCCACCAAGGTGGGTGGATAGAAGATCAGCTTTCATGTTGCTGTTTTTATTTATTATTTTACTTTTTCTTAGGTTGAAAAACCCTGTCTTTTCTGTTTTACTCATTGTGACAAAAATGTGCTTAATTAAACATAAGATTTTACAGATGCTTCAACAAATGTTTTTTGGTACAAAAGCACCTATCTTCCTGAAAGAAGGGAAGCTTTTTCTTCCAACTTTCTTTCTTCATTTAAATAAAATAAAAACAACTGGCGATGTTTCTTCCATCCACATGTGTAAGTAGCAGGAGGCATGAATGTATGCTACAACACAAATTTAAATTCGATTTATTTAGAAGTCTCATGAACACAAAGAAAAATTAATCCAATAGGATATTATACAAAATAATATTCCATTACACATATATAATAGCTATTTATATTAATAGAAAAATACTTATATTGAAGATAGTGGAGAAACACTTAAATTCTTTTGACAGTAGTGTATAATGTCATCTGATGACATTAAACATTGGTGGAAGAAAATGTTGAAAATAATTTTATTTAATGAAGATCTATGTTTTACACCTCACTGGCGCATTTTCTTTTAATATTGAAGTTTCAAAAGAAGAGTTTTACATGCCACTCCAATGAGTAAACACCCTTTAACTTATCCCCAGAGCTTTCACATCCATGGTCCTTCATGATTCTCTCTGCCTCCCTCTCCAGTCAAATCTCCCTCTACCACACCACGTGTGTCCTGTACTCCAGACATCATGCAGATTGCCATCCATTTATCACCCCCTCCCCCTCCTCTCCTCCACTTCTTTCTCTTCTTCTTGTGTTATTGGATTCAAATTTCCTATACCTGTCATATCCTTTCCTGTTGAAGATGCTTCTTATTAAATGTAGTCTTATAATTTTATGATTTACAAATAGCAAAAAGCAAATGACTTTTTAATTCATTTATGTTACATATACATTGTGGTAATAACTACAACTGGAAAATTTGGGTATTGAGTTCTGATGGGAGGGATTGACAGGCTACCCTAGAGTTTGTGAGCAGCTCATAATGAGGACACTGTTAAGCTAGATTGGAAAAATTCCTATGTGAGATATGGGCCCAATATTCTATCAGTGAAACCCATTCCAACATGTATAGTAAACCACTCTTGCAGCAGAATTAGGTTTATGCAGGTTTATTTGTAAGTAAATACCTGACGATGACCATTTCAACTGATGACACAGATAAAATGCCCAGACACAATGTCACAACATCATCTCAAAAAGAAAAAATGAGAAAAGCCACGTGTCTCCTTTATACTCTATATAAATGGTACTCAAAATCAACCAACCAACAAACCAGAAATGTATCTATATATCATGTGGGTTCCCTACCTTGGCCTGGCAAGATGATTATCGAAGACTGGTGAAGGTCGTGCACATGAGAAGCAGGACATTATCTCCTCGCTTTTATGGGGGGGGCATAGAAAACGCCTTCCAGCTTTCAAATTGTATTATAATGTTTCAGGCCACTCTACTTTCAATGCAGAGTCCCTTCTATCCAGAGTGTCCCTTTCCATTTCTTCTTCTCAAATTCTGCTTATCTTTCAAGTTTCAAGTCTAGCATCATCTCCTGCAGGAAGCATTCTCTGGACTCTCCACAATCATTAATGTGACTTCTCATCTCAGGCAGCAAGCTGCATGAACATTTGTCATAGGAATTACTGGCTGCTATAATTTTGATTTACTGTATCTCTTTTGGACCACGAGCTATTCTGGGGAGAAGACCTTTCTTTTTTCCAGCTTTGTATCTATTATACCTAGCAGAGAGCCTTTCATAGAGAGGTATTAATATGAATTGGTTGAATGAATGAAACTGCTAATGCAATGGACTTATTTAATTATAGACACTAGTTGGCCAAAGAAGCTAATCAACATAATGAGATGGAGTTCATGGCATTTATCTTAAAATAACTCTGATCTCAGAAGTCCATTTAAATTACACATTTCAAATTAAAATCGTGGAATTAATTTCTCCCCTTTTCATTTACAAATTCTGTACTGAATAACCCTATAATTGAGTAGAATTAAGAGAAATATTAGTTCCCATGTTTTTGACTTAATGAACTTATTTTTTGTAGTCAGTTCTGATATTATAACCTCCTATTCTGGCCAATTATTTATTTATTATTATTATTATTATTATTATTATTATTTTGAGATGAAGTCTTGCTCTGTTGCCCAGGCTGGAGTGCAGTGGTGCAATCTCAGCTCACTGTAACTTCCGCCTCCCGGGTTCAAGCCATTCTCCTGTCTCAGCCTCCTGAGTAGCTGGGACTACAGGTGCATGCCACCACACCCAGCTAATTTTTGTATTTTTACTACAGATGGGGTTTCACCATATTGGTCAGGCTGGTCTCAAACTCCTGACCTCAGGTGATCCATCCGCCTATATTTATGGATAAATCACTATGTGCCAAAACCCCCCTGGTGAAGCCCTGAAGATATATAGCAGTTAACAAAACAACATCCCTGCCCACATAGAACTTACATTCTGAGGCGGAAGACACATAATGAGCCAAACACATACATGTATAGACAGACAGAGACTCTCCTTTTGAGGAAATGTGTTTTATGGGCTTTGGGTTTTATTGGAAACTATTAAGAAGCAGCTATCATTTAGCAGAAGCAGCTACTAAAATACTGAAACATCTAATTCAGACCCCAGACTCCTGTTTGCTCCTCTTGGGGATGCTAAACTGCAGAAGTTAGGAGAGTCATCATGACCAGAAAGACTAAGCCTTCTTTTTCTATGAGAAAACAAACATGGATGTTTTGAATTCTTTACTATAAAATAGACTGAGTGTGGTTCTGAATATGGTCACAAAATTGTCTGGCTCTGTGAATCCACGGCACTATAAAATTAAGCTTTCTGGTAAAAGAACTGTTTCTTTAACCTTAAAAATGGTGGGGGCTGTATTTTTTTCCACCATCATAGCCCCTTTTCTCCTCACCCCTTTCTTTGGTGCTCTTGGCAATAAGCCCTTTTACTACACAGGTTTTCCAGCAGGTAGTATCTATTATTTTTAGCTTAGTTAATGGCTTACTTACAAACCAGTGAGTCTAAATTATAAAAAATGAGGAATGACTCACATTCATTAAAATGAATTCTGATACATTTGGCTAGTCGCATGAAACAGGGGTACATAATGAGGCGACCGGAGGACACGGAATTCATTAATCCATGAGGTGGCAGTGATGCCAAGCAGAGACAGGCAGACATTTCTCTTAGGTCTCATGTGGTCAAAGTAATTATTTCTTTAAAAGATCTGCAGTTTGTGAACATTTGTTACTCTTGGAGGAATCTCCCTACCGAACTTAGTAAGAGAAAATTCTTAAAGGAATTAATCCAGATGCAGGAGATATTATGGTTTATAGTATCCATTTTATTCTCTGGTTTCTGTTAGATGTCACTTAACACCTGCTGATTCAGCAGTTCTTTCCATTTATTTGGATTTCAGCAGGGGAGCTGCCTGGGCATCACTGGGCAAGGGCTGAGGACAGTAGTGAGATAGCTCGGGACTTGCTTTTGTCCACAGATTTGGATTGTCAGATATTCTTGCTCATTTACTTCATGGAATGGAAACAACAACAGCCAACTTTCTCTTTCTCTCCTCTCTCTCTCTCTCTCGCTTTTCCCACATCTGTTTTGCAGAGGGGTGTGTGTTATTTGGAAAAGTTATCTCAACAGAACCCATGTTATTATTCGTCAGGCCATTTCCCCAAAACACCTTCTCTGCACAATCCAATCTCAAAGTAAAACAAAATAAAATTAGCCAGTTAAGTCAGACTATTGATTTAACTGAATATTTTCAGACTGAATTGGTTTATCTTCTAAATAAATTAATGGCCAAAATAGTTGATCTGGTTACATGCGTAAGGAAAATCATAGATAGGGACCAGATGTAATTACCTTTTCAAAAGGACCATGTTTTGGAAGAATATGGATTTACTGAGGTGGCTGGGACACCGAGAGATGAGGTGTATTAGTCCATTTTCATACTGCTGTTGAAGACATACCTGAGCTTGGACAATTTACAAAAGATAGAGGTTTAATTGGACTTACAGTTCCACATGGCTGAGGAAACCTCACCATCATGGTGGAAGGCAAGGAGGAGTAAGTCACATCTTACGTGGATGGCAGCAGGCAAAGAGAGAGATTGGGCAGGTAAACTCCCCCTTATGATACCATCAGATCTCATTAGACTTATTCACTATCATGAGAACAGCACTAGGAAGACCTGCCCCCCTGATTCAATTACCTCCCACTGGGTCCCTCCCACAACGCATGGGAATTCAAGATGAGATTTGGGTGGGGACACAGCCAAACCATATCATTAAGAGATTGTCTTGTTAAATTCAGAATTTCAGCAATGTTTTAGCTTCCAGTGGAAGTATCTAAATAATTCAAACAATCCCTGATTCAAGACAAACTTTATCCATGCTCTTAAGCACAAGCTCCTGAAATTCAAAATATAAAGAACAATATATATGAAGAAATTATGTCCTATCTCTATTATCTATCTATCTATCTATGTATCATCTATCTATCTATCTATATCTCTTCATAAGAAATTCCAACAAGTGATTTCTATCCACTATTTTTCTGGACCATCCAAATTCATATATGTGTGATAGTTGACATTGATTACTGACTGATTTGAATAATTTATTAAAGAAAAAAGCTGCTTAGGCAGTATAACCTCTAATCCACATATTGTTTCATTTATGTGCAAAAATGAGGGAGTCAAAACATTCATTAGAATTTTCATTTAAGGAGCCAATAGCACAAATAGACATAAGGGTATATATTAATTAACACTTATCTGTGTTTGGAAAGTCTTTAAATGATGGAGACTTTGTACTTGATCTACACAAAAAATGCAATTGTCAAAAATTTGTGTCTTGTTTTCACTGCATAACTGTGTCTATAGGATCTTTCGTATTTAAGTAGACTAGCTGCAAAGGGAAGCAAAAGCTTAATTACTTCCCCACCTCAATAAACTACCTCTTACCTCCTTCCTTTCAATTCCCTTCCATCTAACCTGCGGATACAGGATTAAAGTGGCCCTTTATTTTTCTTCTATTGAATGTACCATAGATTCAAATCTGCAACTATTCAAGAATGCGAAATCCTAAAAATGATCTCCTTTCACACATTTGCAAATCACTTCCATGTTTTCAACTAAATGAAATTCTACTGAGTGGTTTACTGTGTGCAAAACTTTGCAAGAAAGAGAGAACCTGAGTATTGTAAAGTCACAGGTCTGATAAATCAAGGAGTTACAACCGTGGACCCCTTCCTTCCTGATATCTTCCTTTTCTTCCTTTCTCCTTGCCAACTTCCCAAGAGTAACTGAGGAAATATAAATGAACAGATTTCAATTTGGATTGAACTTGCTTCTTACTGCCAGCCCATTTGGGGCAAGTCATTGTTCTATACTAACTGAGAAGTTAAGCACAGCAGAGAGATCTCAAAGGATAATGGCTTAGATAATGGCAAGCTACAAACAAAAATAGTGGCAGCATCCAGGGTGGCTCAGTGGGGAAGTTAGGCTCCCTCTTGACCGCTATAATTCCCTCTTCATTGACCATTTTTATTCCTCATATCATGTAAAGTACTATCTCTAGAAGCTCCAGACTCCCCCTCCCAATCAACTTTCTCCTGCACAGAAATATTGGACCTGACATTGGACCTAGAAAGTTTCTGTCTCTAACAGTGTGAATGAAAACAATGGGGACAAATTAGAGTTTTGTTTGAATTGAATGAATAAAGCATTCGATAATGTATCAGACATGCTTGAGGATGCAGCAAGGGATCTCATCCCTGCCATTAAAATATGCATTGTATATCTGAGAAATGTTTCTCCTCAGTGGGCTATGTCAACACATAAATGTGCTTTTAAATCTACATGCAAAAATAATCATGATGTGGATTGATAAGAATTCTGAAGAAGACTGAGGCTACATATTAATCTGGGAAACTCTGCCCACAGTCAAAGATTTTCACTAGAAACTCAAAGCTCAAACTCCATATTATTTTTTTTCTGAAACCATACAAATGCTGTATCCAATAATCAAGAAAGAAAGGAAAGGGATTCAATCAGAATTCAGTGGGACACTAAAAAAGTAGTAGTCAGAATTTGACACTTCATGTAAATCAAGTTCAAAACCAAACAGAAAAAAGGGTTCTTTCTAAGTATCACTGTATGTTTAAGTATAAATCCGCATTCACATGGATATGTAACTGTGATTTTTTTTTTCCTCCTTACTGCATCAACTCTGTTAAGCTGGAACCATATTTTCCTGAATTCTTTTGCTTGTGTAAATTCAGTTAGGGTTGGCCACAGGAGAAATTTGTGTGAGATTTGGAAGTAGACTTTATGCCCTATCTGTCTGTGTGGGCTCCAGGCACCCCTGCAGATCACATGTTCCCCCTGATCTGCTGGCTCGCCAGATTGTCATTGGGAAGCAGCAGGGTTTGCAGCTCCTCCAGCTCTTGTCTGGTTGATCTCCTCCTGCAGCTCTTCAATTTCTGGACCAGGCGCATGAAAGACTTGTGGCAAAGGGTACCAGCTTCTTCAGTGGGTAACCCGCATTGTCAAAGTCCTTGCCTGGAAAACCTGCATTCGTCTCCCCTGTAATAATTGCCTGTCTGGGGACTGCGGATCCTCTTCAGAGCCTGCCTCCACCATGTCTTATTGCTTCTAGGCCTGTAATTAAAATCCTGTCTTGGCAAGGCTCCAGGGGTACCTGTAAAGGCAAACAAATAAAATATTTGCCTATAACAACAAACAAACAAAATTATTATCCAACATACCTGGAAACATGTTTCCAGGTATGGTGATATAAATTGGATAATAATGAGAATGGATCCTAAGGGTGTTAGATAAGGATCAAAGACCATATTAGTCTCAATTTGCTGATATGGGTGCACTTAAAAGAGATTGTAGATTCAATGTGTTCGCAGCTGGGAATGGCTCTAATAGTCATCTTGGTTAGAAGAGTGAACTTCCTTGGTACTCTGGAGATGGTGGTACCCATCCAAGGTTGGAATACTGAAGAGGACCTGCTCATTCACCTCCCTACTATGTCTGGAGGACATTCTCTCACTCAGGCTTTGCAGCATACATCTGTGAGGGAGCTCCAGGTTGGGTATTCCTAGTAGTCCAGAAATATCAGTGGATACTACTGCAATTTGACTCGAAATTCAGTGGGGATGATGTGATCCTGTGGTGACAGGGACCAAGTTGTGGCACTTAATGGCTGGAGACAGAGTGGTTTGGCCCACAGAGAACTTTGAGTTGGCCAATAGAGTATGACTAGAACAGAAATAGGTTGGCAGACTTTAAAAATATTTGATATATATACGGTAACAATTTTTTCTAATGGATGGAAGTCTAACTTTAATCATTATAATGATCATGCCTTTCAGCCACTTCCAGAATTGAGCTGATTTATAGACCCAGAGCCCCTGAATGAAGGGGAGGCCAGGACATACATGAGGAAGCATCCTGCTTTACAGCCAAAAGTTTACACTGTAAATGTTCTTCCCCAGCTTTGCCCTGAAGGGACACATGGCCATTTCTCAGAAGAATTGTTGGTCCCTGGCTCTGATCTTAATTTTTGGAGACAAAGAATATCACTGTGATCCACCACTCAGAGTAAAGACCAAAGGATGTTAGGTGAACACTTCTTTCCTCTCACAGGCCTGCTTTCCTCTTACAGTGGGTCCAGGGGGCCCCCAAACCTACACTGGGGTGATTTCCTCACTTATAAATACGTAGATAGAATAATAGACTCAACTATTGGCAGAATCTTGACACTGATTCCCATAACCTATGCAGTTAGGGCTATTATGATAGAACAGACCAAGAACAAGCGAAAGTCACTGGAAGTGACTCTACCTACCCAAATGGTAAACCAAAAGCAAATGGCTTTCTGGAGAAATTGCAAAAATTATTGCCAATATCAAAGGCTTGAAAAATACAGGGTTGGGGATCTCTACTTAACATGCCTATTTGGCCAGTGCAGAGGACTAATATTGCAGTATGTAGTGAGTGACTACAACCTTAAAAAGGTAGTAACTCCAATTCCAGCTGCTATTTCAGATGTATTTTCTTTCTGGAGAAAAATCGGTGCCAGGTATGCATACAGCTAATGTTCTGACAAATACTTTTTATTCTATGCCATTTAGCAAAAATCTCAGGAACAGTTTGCTTTCAGTTGAAAGGGCTACAATATATCTTCACTGTCCTACCTCAAGGCTATACTAACTCTTCAGCCCTATGTCATAATGTGGTCCACAGGGAGCTTAATTGCCTCACAATTCAAAAGAACATCATGGTAGGCCATCACATTGTTGATGTCATGCTGATTGAACTTATGAGCAGAAGTAGAAGCTACTCTGGATAATGAAACAAGACAGATGCATGTCAAGTAGTGGGAAATAGATCCCACAAAAATTAGGATCTGCCATCCCTAGAAACGTCTAGAGAAACAGTGGACTGAAGAGTTTGGGATATCTCTTCCAAAGTTAAAAAAAACAGTTGCTGTGTCTTACATTTCCTACCACTAAAAAAGGGGACATACCTAGAGGGGGATTTTGGAGACATCAAATATCTCATTTGGGTGTGCTTCTTACATTCATTTATCAAATAACTTCGAAAGGATGCCAGCTTTCTGTGTAGATCCTAGCACAAGAGACGTCTCTGCAACAGGTCCAGGCTGATGTGCAAGCTGCTGTACCACTTGGGCCCTAGGACCTAGCAGATCTTATGGTGCTTGAAGTGTCCATGGGCAATGGGATGATGTTAACAGCCCATAGCATGCATTTATAGGTAAATAACTGTGGAGACTCTTATCATTTTGCAATAAGGCTATACCATCTTCTGCAGATATCAATTCTTGTTTTAAGAAATAGTTTCTGGTCTGTTACTGGGAACTAGTAAAGATTAAATGCTAGACCATTAGTCATCAATTTTCTGTGCCACCTGAGGTACCCAACATGAAGTAGGTGTTGTCTTACCAAACCATGAAGTTGGGTATGCACAGCAACATCCCCTCATCAAATGGAAATGGTTAATATAAGATCCAGCCTGCACAGGTCATGAAGGCACAGGTAAGTTTCGTAAGCAAGTTGTACAAAAGCTCATGGTTCATACACCTTTTACATGGCCTCCTCTTTCTCAACTGCAGGTGTGGCCTCTTTGAGAGTTCCCTTTGATCATCGTTGAACAAGAAAATATTTGGGTCTGGTTTACCAAAGGACCTACAAGATTTTCTGGCACCACCATTCCCTGGAGGGGTCAGCCAGCTACATGTTGGCAGGATGATGGCACTGGACTATTTCCATCGTGGAAGGGGCAGCATTTTGTCCTCACTGGAACAGACACTTGGTTAGAATATGAATATGCTTTCACTGTACATATTTGTTCTGCTAAAACCACCAACTGTATATGCCTTATTCACTGTTATGATATTCCACGTAGCATTACTTCTGACCAAGGAACTCATCTCACAGCTAATGAAGTGTGGATAAGGAAGGGACTTTTGAAGATTTTGTTATGTTCCCAAGTGGGGGACATCATCTTATAGGGCTGGTGTAGTGTCCTATGGATGTAGTACATATCCCAAATCAGCAACCAAAGTATAGTGCTGTTTCTCCCATAACATGATCAAGGAATGGGAATGAGATCAGCTGCTCTTAGTTTACCCTTTGTGATCCACTAACAGTATTTTTGCTTCTAGTCCTGGTGACTTTGGGCTCTGCTGCTTTAGGGCATTTTACTTTTCCAGAAGAATAATGCTTCTGCCAGGAAACACAGTAACACTCCTGTTAAATTGGAAGTCGAGACTGCTCCCTGAGAACTGTGATGCCAGTAAATCAGCATGCAAATAAGTGGCTACTGGATTGGCTGAAGTGTTTGATGCTGACTATCAAGGGGGGAAACTGGGTTTCCAGCATAGAGTGGGCACGGGAGTAGGTGCTTTCTGGAATACCCTGGTCACCTTGGGTACTGCTTTTTATTCCCTTATCCTGTGGCAAAAGTTAATATAAAACCATGGTAGCCCAATAAAGACAGGACTTCTCATGGCTGACACTTTAGGAATGGAGTTTTAATCACTCCACCAGGCATGGGATCACAGCAAGGTGAGGTGCTTGCTGAGGGCAAGGGAAATATGAAGTGGGCAGTGCAAGAAGGAAGTCATCAATACAAGCTATGACCATATGGCCAATAGCAGAAATGAGGACTTAATATTTATGAGTATTTCTTTCTTAATTTTATTTACAGGCATGCTTCACTTAACGAGAGGGATATAGTCTAAGAATTGTATCATTAGGCAATTTTGTCATCATACTTACATCTTGGAGTGTACTTACACAAACCTAGATGGTATAGCCTACTACACATCTAGGCTGTATGGCAGAACCCATTTCTCCTAGGCTGTAAACCTGCACAGCATGTTACCATACTGAGTACTGTAGGCAATTGAAGCACAATGGTGAGGATTTGTGCATCTAAGCTTATCTAAACATAGAAAAGGGACAGTAAAAATTACAGTATAAAAGATGAAGAATGGTACATGTGCAAAGGGCACTCACCATGAATGGAGCTTGCGGGACTGGAAGTTGCTCTTGGTGAGTCAGTGAGTGAGCGGTGGATGAATGTGAAGGCCTAGGACATGACTATACAGTACTGTAGACTCTATAAACATGGTACACTTAGGCTACAATAGATTTACTTCAAAAAAATCTTTCTTCAATAAGAAATTAGCTTACTGTAGCTTATTTTTAGTTTATGAGCTTTTAAATTTTTAACTTTTTTACTCTTTTGTAATAACAATTACCTTAAACACATTGGATAGCTGTACAAGAATATCTTCTTTTTAATTTGCATTTAAAAGCTTTTATCTCTTTTTAATTTTTATTTTACTTTTTAAATGTTTCGTTAAAAATGAAGACACAAATACACACATTAGTTTAGGCCTGCACAAAATCAGGATCATCAAGAAATCACTGGCAATAGGAATTTTTTGGCTTCATTATATTCTCATGGGACCATCATCGTAGACTGAAACATCGTTACAAGGTGCATGACTGTATATGTGTGTATGTGTAAAAATTACTTAGTACCCCTCTTCTATTTTTCTATAATCCAATATAAGGCATGTTAATAGTGGTTAATGTCATAGTTCAATATTTAAGTTACAGAATATCAGCGGGAGAGTGTGACTATAAGGCTGTTTCATAGAGAAAGTGTCTTTTTGGTTGTACAAATTGTAGTTGCATCATGTTCTAACATGTTTACCTGGAAGTTAAATATGCTTAAAAGAAGTTTGTAAGGGTACCAAGTTGACAAGGAGTGGGCTGTCATATTTTCTTCTTTTGCTCAGTGTCAAATTAACTGAGCTAGAAATACATTTCTGAGAATGCCCTTCCTTCTATGGCTCCTGATTAAAATTGGCCACAAGAGAAATTTGCACAAGTTTTGCAAGGTAAAAGTAAAGCAGCAGCCATTACACCTTGAAGGATGATGTAGGGTTCCAGGCATCCCTGAAGTTCATGCACATCGTCATGGAGCTGCTCAGCCAGTCCTGTGCCAAGGTGAGCTAGCAACTGAGCTTGTAGCCAGTAACTGGGTTTGTAGCTGTCTCAACTCCCATTGGATCTCATCCTTCAGCCCTTCCATGTCCTGTACTAGGCACATTTGCAGGTCTGTGGGAAAGGGCACCAGCTTTTTCTGTGTGTCACCCATCCATGTCATCAAGGTTTGAGGTGGTGAGACAGGCATGGGTTCCACTTTTTCCTTGCAGATTCCAGTTGGTCCTTGATATATGCTAGTTCATGTCCAGCATTTTTTCTTGACTGGCAGCCCTGATGACCTACAACAGCATCAAAACCATAAACCGATGTAGCAGCAACAGCTTTCCATAGACTTTTTCAGTCTCAAAAATTATGCGTCATCTAGCTCCTATAACAAACCTGTACTTCCATATCACTCATAATGGTTCTGCTTTCTGAGTTCTAAGTGATATAGTAACTGAGGACATAATGATCTCTTTTTAGGAAAAATTACAGTGTATACAACCATTATTAAGAGTCATTTTTAATTTATAATAATTGTTGCTTTAAGCAAGGTCTCCTAAGTTTATGTGTTCCTTATGACCTCAGCAGGAGATAATTTTTGTTTTTGTTTCAAATGCTTACAGTTTCGCTTAAGGATCTTTCTTTAGTGTTTTAATAGAATCATCATTCTCAGGATACTGTAGTATCTTCCTTATAGTTTAAATGGAGCAAAAAATAAACAAACGAGGTTTTAATTAACGAATGTGCTAGTAGATATTCTATATTTACACACACTAGTTTCAGTTCTATCTTGAGTATGAGTTTGTGTGTGTAAAAAAGATAAAGAGAGAGAAAATAATCTCTGTAATAAAAAACAGAGAATGGGGGAAAAACCAGAAATTTCTTTCCTTACAATATTTAAGGATAGGCTTTCAAGATTTTAGCTGTATCCAAATACTTATTCTTAAAATAATCCTGCTATCTTGGGCATAACCTTCAAATTTGAAGATTCTAAAAGGTTCATAGGTGGAATAAATTCTCTTTTCAAAAGAGACCCACCTTCAATGAAGAGGGCTGCTTACCCATACATAATTGAACATCGGTTTCTCCCCTAATGATGACCAGATTCTCAGAAATCGGGCTACATTTTTTTAACAGTCAGCTGGGATCATAGGGAGTTAATAATTGCCATCACCAGCTCCACTGAATCAGAGGTTAGAACCAATTAGAGAGTAAGTAAATGGAGAGTTAAAATGTCAGCTTTTTCTTTTTTTAACTGATGAAGGCAGGCTGGATAAGGTGGAGTTTTTAAAAAGTGTGTGGGAGGATAAGTGTCAAGATGAACTTGCTAATATTTTACCTATAAAATGGACAGACTCACCCACACAGTCACAAATAGCTGGGGATAACAGCAGGCTCTGCTAAGGTAACTGCATAACAGTCCATATCTTCCCAGAAAAAGAATCATTTTTTGCTTGCTGCTTTGCTATGCAATTAGGAACTCATTGTGTACAATCAAACTCTCTTCTCATCCTTACCAAGCAGCTCCTTTGGTGATGTGACCCAGACCCTCATGTCTGAGAGGGCTGAGCTCCTGGTCACAATTATCTTCCTGTCATTCCAGTGTTTGATATTATTTTATGTGGCATTGCCTTATTCTCTGTGTATATACAGCACTTCTCTAACTTGGTTGTAAATTGTTTATAAGTTCATGTTTCATGCTTGCATTCTGAATCATTGCCCTTACCATACAGAATGCCAGGCACATAATAGTTGCTCAAATTAAAAAATATATCAAATACATAAATGATTGCTAGGTGCATGTTGTAGGTCATGCAGGTCAGCAGGTCATCTTTCCAGGGAAGTAGACTCTGAAATAGAGATTAATGTGCAGAAATTAGGAACTACGTGTAGGATCAAGCGCTGTGGCAGAAGAAAAGAAGACAAGATGGGGCAGAGGGAGGAGCTGGGCTATGTTGACATTTCAGCAAAGCTCTTCGTTAAACCCATATAGGGCTCTACAGCTGGGATGGCCCTTCAATGTTATTCCCGGTTTAAGAGAGTCAGCTGAGCTTTATACCACAGTGTCGGCCATTCATACCATTCATTGGCTACAGGCTTCTCCCAGGGAGGAGTGTGGCCTTGGCAAGGTAGCTCCCCAGGTGAGTGTAATTCCTGTGAGGCTGGCAGCTGGGATCTGTCATCCCACAGCACTCCCAGAAGCATAAGGATTATGTCCCTTAGTACTAAAGGGAGATCAAAGTGGTGCATCAGAGCGCCCACTACGGACCACCCCTTATGATGTCCCGATCCAATTCTTTGTGTAGACTCTGAGAGCAGCAAATTCTGGTGGACCTCTTGTCCTGGGAGAACCTTAGATGAAGGCGAGTGGGACAAACAGCTTCTCAACACCTGAGCTGAACTTGTAGCCACAACTGTCACTCATCAGCTTTTCCCTCTACTATCCATTCTGCATGCTGCTCATTCTCAGCTAGCACATCTTCCATTCTCGGGTGGCTCTGAAACAGACCTTCGGGGTCTTAGGAATCTGAGCCCATAACCATCATGCCCTTCTCAGGCCATGGCATATCATTTGTTCATGAATCACAAAAACTGAGTGAGCATAAGTAGACACATCAAAAGGAATCACCTGGGTGCCAACCCTATTCCACTATGCCCCCACTGTGTAACAGGATTTCTACTTTCTCCTGATGGTTAGGGCCAATTACTCTTTCCAGAAATGGTGACTTGTCTTCTTGGCTGTGGTCTGTTGGCATGGAGGGCCGTAAGTGTGTGGGCAATGGCTGTAACTTAAGGTTCAACGGGACTTCTGCTGTGTCCCTAGGTGGATGTGTTCTTTGAGAACCAGGACCTCTATCCCCACAGTATCTAGAGTTGGGGGAGGGGCAGCTCAGATCCACGTAGTGGGTCACTTGGAGGGATGTTAAGTGGGGTCTCTCACACTTCCATCTCATGCATCTTTTCTCACACCATGTGTCTCCTATTTGATCGTATCTGCTGGGAAATAAGGTCATAAATTCAGCTTGGACCTGCTGCAGAACCCTTTCCAGCTGTGTCCTATTCAAAGCTGTCAGACTTTCCTTACATCTGATATCTAGGCTGGAGAACTATGCCCAGGTGTGGAACATGCTCCCTCTTAACACCTGAAGACATCCACCAGCTGTTGTGCATTCTTCTCTGTGGTAGGGCACATGAGATGCAATAATTTGAATTTGTCTTTTACTTTAGAAGGCATATCCTGGCATGCCCCAGACCACTGGACTTTTAAAAAGTTTACTGCTGCGTCAGACCCCTAACTCTTCCTAAGAAGGGGCTCCTCTTTCTGTAGTTTCTATGTATTATTAAAGCCTCCAAAGCACTTGCAAACTTCTTGTGTATCTGGTTTAATTAGTATAAAATCATCAATGTAGTTGATCAAAGTGATCTGTCTGATAACATGACAGAAGTCAAGATAGATATCATAGTCTTGGGCAAGACTATTCACTCTTGATCCTTCTGAGTGAACATGAATTGATTCTGATTCCCCTTTGTCATGCTCAGGGTCAGGTTCCGTCCCCAGCTGAGGGCTGAGGGGAGTGGCTGGTCGTGGGACAGGGAGCTGGAAGAACATTCGAGAGACAGCAGGTAGATGAGACATGGCTTTATTCAGCAGCCTTTTCACAGGATCAGTGTTACATTTCTACACTATACAAACAATAGTGGCTGAGAGCCAGGTGGGGAACTTCTCTATGTTATGTCTACATGGCTATGATTATATAAGACATGGGACTGTGCGCCTGTGTCACAAACCTGCTGAGTCATCCAGGCTGTTTACCTCAGCCTATGCCTGCTGCCCTATGCCTGCTTGGCTGCAGCACAACCATGTTCCTTACACCCTTTCTGATAAAAATGGAGAGTGATAAATTTATAAGATTTGAAGTTACCTGCATGAGCAAAGCCATGCTAATCTGCCCTAGCAGGGATAGTGCATCTAGCACAGAATCTTGGGGCCAATGTTTGGGTGAGGTTGTAGTGGTCTAGTATCCTCTTCTAGGAAACATTTCACTTTTGTAGGGAGCAGACTGATAAATTTGTTGGAGATATATTAAGGGCTATATCTTCTGCATCTTTTAGGTGGTTAAGAATGACGCTAATCTCTGCCCATTCACCAGGAATGTGGTCTTGTTTTTGACTATTTTGACTGAGTCTTCTTGGTTTCCACTTGATTTTCTATAGAATGATATCTCTTACCCCACAGTCCAATCAACCAAGGTTGGGAGTAGGGTGGGCAAACTACCACTTATATCCAATCAATCATATTTTACTAATGAAATGGTTGATGGTGGGTCTGTGAACCTATTGGATTTTTGTAAGCTGGATCTCAGCCAGGATTATAATTTATTACCTGAGTTCTACCCACTCTGAGTGCCCTTACTCTAACAGGGAGGCCCCGATGTTCGGATGATCAAGTATCAGTGCCTAATGTATTCAATTGTTCTCAAAATTCTCTTTCCACAGTTTATAATTACCTAAGTAAAGGACATCTAAGCTGCATCTAATCAAGAAATGAATCAGGGTAATTTTTACCATAGGCATTTGCCATAGTATTGCAGGTCTGTTCCCTCTGGAAAACTCACCTCTCTTTAAGTCAGTGGGTTCTGTGTTGCAAAACTGGGGTAAATGTGGAAAATGGACAGGGCTTGTGACTTTTTATTGTAGTAGTGGCCCTCAGTCTCTTGATTATCTTTTCCTGAACTATTTTGTTTGTAGATTTTACATCACTGCAGGCTATACATTTATTTTGCCCCTGAGAATACCATGTTCTATTAATCATCTTTATAGCTTTCCATGGATCAAGTCCCTGAATGCTACTCTGCCTTTGCCACTTCATTTGATAATTGGGCCCGTCTTGCCTCCTATGGTTAAATGGTGGCCACTTTGGATAGATGGAAGGAGGAAGCCTATCATCCACATAGCCATTATTGAGTCCAGTTCCACAACAGCATCTCCTACTATCAGCCTTAATTTACAGGAGAATGCCTCTTCTGAACTTCTCAGTGATGTGGGTACCCATCTCACTCACTTTGGTAATTGCCATGCCCTCCAGGCCTTCCCATAGGATGTATTCATCTGGTGTATTTCCTAGACTTACACAGTATATATGTTCTTGCATGCCAACTTTCCTAACCCTTTTGCTCCCTACTTTTACTGCCTGCCATGATATTTCTGGCATTTCAAGTTCATTTCATTTAGGTCACTGCTTTCTCCAAGTTTCACAAGCTATCCCAGCAGAACATTTATACTTTGTCCAAGATTCTTGCCAGGGTATCACATCCTATATCCTTGGAGAGGGCTTTAATAGTAAATGCTCTCTTGTCCTTTTTTATATTCTATCCCACCTCTCCTTAATCAAATACCTTTAGAATCCAGGCATGTAGTACTCCCCAGTTTCCTTCTGGTGCAAATTGACTCCATGTGTGCATATTCACTTTCCTTCCTTGGCAAGCCCAACACTTCTCTAGTTGTCTTATGCTGCACCTTAACGCTATGTGTTGGCCTGGAGCCAAGGGGAGTACATAGTGGCAGATCCTGAGAGGGGCGCCTCTTGTCTTGTAGTGAAGGGGTCTCTGCATTGTCTGCAAGTGATGAGAAAAGTATGGAGTCTTTATAGGGAGGCGTGAGCTACTTACGCAGGCTCAGAGGGCTTAATAGAATTAGGAGATTTGAGATATTTTAGTTCATCACCCCAAATGTCCCCATCCCATGTTTCTAGGTCCCATTCTTTCCCATTAGGCCTCTACCCTTAGCATAGAGGACCTGACTAGGTTGAGAATTTACCAACTTTGGAAACTGCTTGGTCCTCAGCTTTCTTTATCTTTGCTCTAGAAAATGAAAGCCTTTATATGCTGCCTTGGAGGCCCTCTAGTGTTCACACTTAGCTTGTAATTGATGAGTAATCACCTTTAGCCTTTGTCATCTTTCACCAGAACATTAATTGTCCCCAGCAGTTGCCATTCAATTCTATTATCTTTATCATTACCATTTCCCCATTTCTTTTCTGAAAGACTTGACACATTGCACCTGCACCTGCCTGTGCACTTTCCTCCACAGCTGTACCATTCCAGTTCACCTTTAGTGAAAGGTTTAACAATTGCCATGTTACCTTACACCAATAGCTATTCCTAATCCCGTTATTGGGTATTCATTGCCAGCCAGCTGATGAGTGATCTAGCTCCAAAATCCCATCTCACCATCTGTGCCTTTCCTTAACTGAAGGCAATTCCTGTGCTTTTTCCTTCCTAGGATAATTGAAAACTTTCCTAATTGTGGACACAGTGATAATAATTTTTTTATTCTTGATAATTCCCTGTTAAACATCTGACTGTCAGGGTATATGCTATGCACTAGGCACAAGGTGAACCAAATGGAGAGTGAACAGGTTTTCCCTCCTCAAGGAGCTTGCACGTTGACTCTCCTTCCTTCTGCTGTAATTCGATGATTTAGAACAAGTGAAAGATTTGTACTTTTTGTATGTCTAAGATGAACATCATGCAGTATTGAATCTTGTTTCTGAAACCTGAGATTAATTTAAATATGAGACACTCTCCTTTCATCTAGTTACATGGAGTCATGCAAACATAAAATATATAATAGCAAGATGGCTGGAGCCTGATTCATTTCTTGATTAGATGAAGCTTAGATGCAGGAAAGAAAAGTTTTGTATTCAGATCCCCTGAGTTCAAGTTTTGCTTTTACTAATTACTGGTCAGGCAAGTCACTTGATCCTTCTAAATTATTCTTCTGTAATCAGATTATCTGTGTTGCACAGAGGTATGTCAACATGAAAAAGCACATTTTCAAATGTTTTTTTCAGTGTGGTCCAAGGATCCCTTGGGAAGGGGTTTACTTTTGCATTAAGTATTTATAAACACAGATTTGTTTTATATACATTAATTAAAGTAACTTAAAAACAACAGATTGAATGTAGAAGAATCGAACTGTCTTCCATTCAATTAGTCATGAAAGAGTTCTGCAAAAGGGTGAAACAATACCATTATTCTCACTAGGCTTTTGTCTATTTTGGAAAGTATAGATTTTTAAAAATAAAAGTGTGTTGTTTATGTTAACATATAGTGGGTTTATTGTTATTTTAGGTGAACTAATAAATATGCATTTTAAATATGTATCATTTCTAATTTCCAAGATGGCAAGTATTGATTGATATGAACCATGTAAACAAAGATTCTTTTGGGCTCTTAATATTTGCTAAGAGTGTAAAGGGGACCTGAGACCAAATAGCAAACACTCTAATTTTGCCAGAAGTCTAAGATGACCAATTCTCTGTCTTTCAATATGCTATTAAAACACACACAAAAAGATAAATGCAAATGCTTAACCACAACTTAGATAAGAAATAAAGGATATGACCCTTCAAATACTGGATATTAGAAATTCTTAATATCCAAAGCTTGGATAAAATCTCTCAGACAGATATGTTGAACAGTGCAGGAAAATTGATCATTGATTTCTAGCCAAGCGCTCCTGCTGGAAACCCCAATTTCCCAGGCAAGGACATGAAACTGAGGAAGAGAATTCACCACCTACTTGCCTGGGAGGAACTTTACAAGGTAACCTATTGTTACCTCTCCTTTTTTACTATTAGAAGAAATACGTAGCAATTAAAGGCAGAATTACAGAATAATAGAGTCTTTACACGAAGGGATTGTAAGTCAAGCAGTCCGAATGGAAGAACCAGGGGCATAATCAATTCTGGAAATTAGTTTCTCATTTTCTGATTTGGGCAATTAAATCACTATACTTATGCTTGATTATCAAAGAATAAACTCTACAACTCCTGATTATTTAATGACGTGGCAGATGGTGTAGGAGACCTCCTTCCCTGTCCAACAGATCCATTCTAAATAAAAGACTGCCAATATTAGGGCTGGAGAATGTTAACTAGTTCTTAGCCCATTATATGAGAAGATTCTGAAAGAATCAGGAGGTCAACATGGGGAACCCTGAATAACCCTTAGTAATCCATACCGGACTATGCTTCTTATAAATAAAGAAAAGAACATGTGAAGTCTATGAAAAGTCTCCACATGTTTCAAGATGAAAACAGACTTACCATGTAAGATACAAAGGATTTTTTTTTAACTTCAAAAGGAGTGCATGTTAGAAATCTTTGTCCTCTTGAAAATATTTGTGGAAATCTGTATGCTATGAAACAAAAGAAAAAGGATGGGATGGTAAGACCGCAACAAAAATGACAAAAAAATTGAATGGCCTAAGGAAAAATTGTAAAAACATAAGTATAATCACAAAATTAAGGCCAGGTTCAGAATAAGACAGAAATGACACTGCAGAAAAATAAAGTTTTGTTGTAAAAGGAGTAAAAGAAAAGCTTTCCCAAAATAGAGACAGAGAATAGGAACAGAAGGACCAAATGGGAGAGAAGATGGTAGATCTAAAAGTCAGAAGTGAAGCACCAGCATACAGATCACTGGTAAACATTACTATACAAACAATCCTAAAAGCAAGTTTACAGGAAATTTCCTAAGACAAAAGATTCCACAAATAGAATGATACCATTTGTATAAGAAAAAAACTGATAATAATCAATACCTAGATGGATCCTGATGGCATTATTAAATTAAAACAAATCACTGACAAAATTTTAAACAAAGTAGTTTGATTAAATAGTTTCAGGAACAAGTAAGAAATAAAAGCTGTATGTACAGAATATTTAGGGAAAAATGACAATATTGTATATATAAACAAATGGGATGTAGACAGAACATTTATGAATCGAATTTTTTAATCAATCAAGAAAAGTGTAAGAACTACTCTCACCACAAATACAAAACTTATAAATTCAACCAAATAAATGTAATGGAAACAAGAGAAGAATAAAATATTGGAAAATATCTTCATGACCATAGGGGCCAAGAAGGATTTCTTTTACAAACCTAAAATAATTTTATAAAGAAATAATTAACAACTCTGATCACATTCATATTAAAATTTTATATACATCACAAAGCACCATTTTTAAAAAAGCCAAAGACAAAAGACGGGCTTAGAAAAGTTTTTTTTTGCAACAAATATAACCAACATAACAGAAGGAAGTTCCAGAAATATGAAGACTCTTAAAATCAGTAACAAAAGACAAACAACCCAACAGAAAATAGGCAAAAAGATATAAAAAGGTAATTCGAGAAAGTAAGAGCATTATTTTTAAGTTAGGATGGTAGACGAGTATACATTATTTTATGCTCTATATTTTGACACATCTTAAAAATTTGTAAGGCCAACATATGCATAAATAATTAAAATACAGTTATAAATTAATGAATTAGAAACCAAAAATCATGAGAATAGATCAAGTAATCCAAGATTTTGGTCTTTTGGAAGACATCAAACTATGAATAAAAATGATAGAAAATATAAATATAGGATATTATGTATGACAAAAACATATCATAATAGATGAGATATTTTGAAATTCTAAAAGAATATAATATGACAAATTTAAATAAGTGTGAATATTTCAATAAAATAGACAATGTTTTAGGAAAATAAGCCTAACTGAAAGGCAAGTGAGTTCTCTTGTCCTATGGAGATGTAGATACTCTGGTGGAACTCCCTTGTCTAAATCCTATGACAGCACAAAGCCTTTTCAAATACTTCTGAACATTTCTGGGTAACTCAATTTCTCTGTTCACATCTGTCCTTGGGTCCCCTGCTGACTCTCTTCTTTACCATGTTGACTCAGATGTAAAATTTATCCCCCCTTCAGTTTCTACCAAAAAATTGAAATCACATTTGCAGGGTATTCTGAAGTATAGAAGATTTTGCTGAAATTGGATGATCAAGTTGAATATCCTTAAACAAAATAATAGGCATAAATGCCACTTGACAACCACATCACTGGGGAACTTTCCTTAGCTGTTTTCTTAACATAGCTTTAGTTTCTCAATGATACGGTTTGGCTGTGTTGCCACCCAAATCTCATCTTGAATTGTAATCCCCATAATCTCCACAGGCTGTGAGAGGGACCAGGTGGAGGTAATTGAATCATGCGGGCAGATTCCCCCATGCTGTTCTCGTATTAATGAGTGAGTCTCACGAGATCTAATGGTTTTATAAGCATCTGGCATTTCCCATGCTCAAACTTATTATCTCCCCTGCCACCCTGTGAAGAGGTGCCTTCCACCATGATTGTAAGTTTCCTGATGCCTCTCCAGCCACGAGGAACTGTGAGTCAATTAAACCTCTTTTCTTTATAAGTTATTCAGTCTCTGGTATTTCTTCATAGCAGCATGAAAAAGAGCTAATACACTCAATGTTAAAAAAAACCACTTATTTTTGGTTCGGGGTGCATGTGAAGGTTTGTTACATACGTAAACTTGTGTCACAGGGGTTTGTTGTATATATTATTTCATCAGCCATGTATTAAGCCCAGTACTCAATAGTTATCTTTTCTGCTCCTCTCTCTCCTCCCATCCTCCACCCTCAAGTAGACCCCAGTGTCTGTTATTTTCTTCTTTATGTTCTTAAGTTATTATCATTTAGCTCCCACTTATAAGTGAGAACATGTGCTATTTGGTTTTCTGTTCCTGTATTAGTTTGCTAAGGATAATGGCCTCCAGCTCCATCCATGTTCCCTCAAAAGACATGATCTAATTGTTTTATGGTTGTATAGTATTCCATGGTGTATATGTACCACACTTTCTATATCCAACCTGTCACTGATGGGCATTTAGGCTGATTTCATGTGATATGGTTTGACTATGTTCCCACCCAAATCTCATCCTGAATTGTAGCTCTCATAATTCCCACTTGTCATGGAAGTGACCTGGTGGGAGTTCCTTGAATCATAGGGGTGGGTGTTTCCATGCTGTTCTCGTGATAGTGAGTAAGTCTCATGAGATCTGATGGTTTTATAAAGGGCAGTTCCCCTGCACTTCTCCTTGTTGCTGTCATGCAAAGAACATGTTTGCTTCCCCTTCCACCATGATTGTAAGTTTCCTGAGGCCTCCCCAGCCTTGCGGAACTGTGAGTCAATTAAACCTCTTTCCTTTATAAATTACCCAGTCTTGGTATGTCACTATTAGCAGCATGAGAATGGACTAATACATCATGTCTTTGCTATTGTGAATTCCTATCCATGTGTCTTTATGGTACAATGATTTATATTCCTCTGGGTATATACCCAGTAATGGGATTGATGGGGCAAATGGGAATTCTGTTTTTAGTTCTTGGAGGAATCACCATACTGCTTTCCATAATGGTTGAACTAACTTATACTCGCACCAACAGTGTATAATTGTTCTCTTTTCTCTGCAACCTGGCCAACATTTGTTATTTTTTGACTTTTAATAATAGCCATTCTGACTGGTGTGAGATGGTATCTCATTGTGGTTTTGATTTGCATTTCTGTAATGATCAGTGATATTGAGCATTTTTTCATATCCTTGTCCCAACATCTCTTTAACTTCTCTCTCTTACCTCTTCCTTCTCTATGCTCTGGCTTTTTTCTTTCTGCACTGCATAGGACAATAATACTTTCATTTTATTATGCATATATCTAAAAATCTTGGCTTCTGCTAACACCCATATCTTCCAGATCTCATCTTCTATACCAGTGGCTCATCAAGGTAATTTTCCAATAGACAGTAGATTCTCTTTAAAAGGAACTCAAATGACAGCTGCTAAGATACTATATTTTTCTCTTCCCCAATTATGATTACCAAAATATACTCAAGAAGTGTAAATCAGTATATATAGCAACATCTCAAATATGAAATGTGCTATTCTCTGTCTTTCTCTCTCTCTCTCTCTCTGTCACACACACATACACACACACACACACATACACACACACACACGCAGCAGAGGGAAGAATATAATCAGGTATTTACAAAGATATAGCTGACTCTAGCAAAAGCTGGTGATTTTTTTTCGATATTATTTTGGTAATTAGAAAAGTGACATTAAAATGAATAAAAGTGAAATAATAAAAATTAAAGGCCTAGTATTCCTTAAATAAAGTAAGTATAATATTCATGCATTTTGCCAGTGCTCTTTCTATCACATGTCTAGAACAAATTTTGATAGCCATCATTCTGCCTCCAGGCAAGGCTGCACTGACCTAGTATCATGGGACTTAGACAGAAGTGGAATGCCCTAATCATAAGGTCTATTCCTTATCCTAGTTCTCTGAAAATCTTTAGAGCACATTTCCCTATGTTGTTCATTCCCAGTGCTGCTGTGTTGTATTTCCTAGAATCTAAACTTTTCCTGCGGTTGTATTTCTGACTTTGGGAAGTCGCCTTGTTTCGTATTGATTCTCCAAGATGTCTTGCCGTGCTCCTGCCTGAAGTCAATTGCCTGCAGAAACTAGCTTATATGCATAGATATGCATTTAATGGAGATTAAGCACAGAGATTTTGGACTCACATAGAAACCAAGAATTTATTTCTTATCGTAGTTTCAGGATTTGCTATATATTCCTCTTCTTATATTAACCCTCTTTTCTAATAATTACTAAAAATAACATTTTCTCATAGAACCATTCCCTGAAACTCTGGGCTAGCACAGTGTCCACTGCTACATATTTTCATAGCAATCTTTACTTAAGCTTTTGTAAAAACGAATCCCATATACTTGAAGCTCCATGAGAGCAGTGTCATGTTTTCCTATACTAGTATATTTCTGGAATGTAAGAAGTGCTTAGTGAATAAGTAAAGAAATAGGCGAATGGGTGGATGGATGATTGGCCATCATATGGCCATAGAATTTTCTTGCCAGCTGTTGACCCTACTCACTAGTTCTTGCAGCAAAAAATCAGTTCAGCCAGTGTTCACACCAAAATAAACTCTGTCCCTTATGGGCAAGGTCTAAAGGACATTTAAATTATCTCCAATAAAACCAAGGTAGCAACTTAGTAGGAATCCAATACTAATATTAAGAGAATTTTAACCAAAGACATTTCTTCTCTCTCTTCCATTCTGGATTGCTTTTTTCAGGTACCTATGAGTCTTTCCCCTGCAATTACCCCCTGTGAGGGTTAATACTGAGTGTCAACTTGATTGTATTAAAGGATGCAAAGTATTGATCCTGGGTGTGTTTGTGAGAGCATTGACAAAGGAGATTAACATTTAAGTCAGTGGGCTGGGGAAGACAGGCCCACCCTTAATCTGGTACGTACAATCTAATCAGCTGCCAGAGAATATAAAGCAGGCAGAAAAACAGGAAAAAGCAAGACTGGCCTAGCCTCCCAGTCTACATCTTTCTCCTATGCTTCCTGCCCTCAAACATTGGACTCCAAGTTATTCAGTTTTGAGACTTGGACTGGCTCTCCTTGCTTCTCAAGCTTGCAGACAGCCTATTGTGGGACCTTGTGATCATGTAAGTTAATACTTAGTAAACTCCCATATATGTGTGTGTATATATATATTCTCCTATTAGTTCTGTCTCTCTAGGGAACAAAAGACAAACAGTCTTTTGCTAGTACAGCTTTTGGTACCAGTAGTGGGTCTAGAGGAACAGAATATTAAGGATGGAGTTCTTTTGTTGGTTTTGGGATTTCTGGGGTTGGCTGCTTAATATGATTAGACCCAAAGATGCTAAGGACCCTCCTTCTAATAGTATGGAGAACACTGATAGTCCTCGTTGTGAACTGTTTAGAGAGTTATGCAAAATAAATGCATTTGACACTCCTGATTCACTGCTCATGAGAGACAAGGAGTTTAGTGACTTTGTAAATAATATCTTTGACCATATGTGGAGAACCAAGGAACATAATGAAGCTGGTTGGTTGCTTCTAAGTTTGGTGGATAAAGTGATGAAAGAAAACTATGAACTCAGGGATTCTGTCTCCTGGCTTCAGAAGCAGATAATGAGCCTTAAATATGCTAACATTGCCCTGAGTGAGAGTCTTATCTCCTGTAGAGAAAGAGCTAAAATTGTGAAAAAACAGACACAAGTGGCTGACCTGCAATGAAAGGTGCATGCACAGCCTCGCCAGGTATCTACTGTTAAAGTAAGGGCATTGATTAGAAAAGAATGGGACCCTGGAACTTGGAATGGGGATGTGTGGGAGGACCCTGATGAAGTTGAGGACACTGAGTTTGTAAACTCTGTTGAAACTTTTTTGCCAGAAGGAACAGCTTCCCCATCCCCAGTAGTGGCAACATCCCCTCCCGGACCCATGCTGCCATCAGCCTTTCCACCTTCATCTGAGGAGATAAACCCTGCACTGCCTGAGGCAACAGTGACAGCCTCCCCTGAGGCAGTTGCCTGGCAAAATAATGTTGATTCTTCTCAGGAGCCACCCGCAACACCTCTGTTTGCTTCTAGACCTATAACTAGACTAAAATCCTGGTGGGCCCCTAGAGGTGAGATTGAGACTGTGACCCATGAGGAGGTGTACTACACTTGAAAAGAACTGCTTGAGTTCTCTAATTTATATAAATAACAATCTGGAGAACAGGCATGGGAATGGATATTAAGGGTATGTGATAATGGTGGAAGAAACACAGAGTTGGATTAGGCTGAATTTATTGCTTTGGGCCCACTAAGTAAGGATTCATTCTGCATTTAATATTGTAGCATGGGGAGTTAAAAAAGGTTCTAATAGTTTGTTTGCTTGGTTAGCTGAAATACGGATTAAAAGATGGCCCACTGTGAATGAGCTGGAAATGCCTAATCTCCGTTAGCTTAATGTAGAGGAAGGGATCAAAAGGCTTAGGGAGATTGGAATGCTGGAATGGGTTAGTCACTTTAGACCTACTCATCTCAGCTGGGAGGGTCCAGAAGACATACTCTTGACCAATGCCTTACAAAATAGATTTGTGAGGGCAACACCTGCATCTTTGAAGAGCCCTGTAATTGCTCTTCTCTGTAAGTCAGATCTAACAGTGGGAACCACAGTCAGTCAACTACAAAATTTAAGTACAATGGGAATAATTGTATCCCAAGGTGGCAGAGGCCAAGTGGCAGCACTCAAGTGTCAAAGACAAGGTGGGCATAGCTACTGGAATGGACAGCAGAGACAAAGCAGCAATCAGAATAGTCTGACTTCTGTAGGGCTCTGGCACTGGCTAATTCATCACAGTGTTCCTAGAAGTAAAATTGATAGGAAGCCAACTGCATTGACACTTAATTTATATAAGGAGAAAACTTCTAGGTTGAATGGACAAAAGACTAATTTGAATTATAAAAACAGAGAATCTAAAAGAACAAAGCTGGAGGCATCACGCTACCTGACTTCAAACTATACTACAAGGCTACAGTAACCAAAACAGCATGGTACTGGTACCAAAACAGAGATATAGATCAATGGAACAGAACAGAGCCCTCAGAAATAATGCCTCATATCTACAACTATCTGATCTTTGACAAACCTGAAAAAAACAAGAAATGGGGAAAGGATTCCCTGTTTAATAAATGGTGCTGGGAAAACTGGCTAGCCATATGTAGAAAGCTGAAACTGGATCCCTTCCTTACACCTTATACAAAAATCAATTCAAGATGGATTAAAGACTTAAATGTTAGACCTAAAACCATAAAAACCCTAGAAGAAAACCTAGGCAATACCATTCAGGACATAGACATGGGCAAGGACTTCATGTCTTAAACACCAAAAGCAATGGCAACAAAAGCCAAAATTGACAAATGGGATCTAATTAAACTAAAGAGCTTCTGCACAGCAAAAGAAACCACCATCAGAGTGAACAGCCAACCTACAGAATGGGAGAAAAATTTTGCAACCCACTCATCTGACAAAGGGCTAATATCCAGAATCTACAATGAATTCAAACAAATTTACAAGAAAAAAAACAAACAACCCCATCAAAAAGTGGGCAAAGGATATGAACAGACACTTCTCAAAAGAAGACATTTATGCAGCCAAAAAACACATGAAAAAATGCTCATCATCACTGGCTATCAGAGAAATGCAAATCAAAACCACAATGAGATACCATCTCACACCATTTAGAATGGCGATCATCAGGAAACAACAGGTGCTGGAGAGGATGTAGAGAAATAGGAACACTTATACACTGTTGGTGGTACTGTAAACTAGTTCAACCATTGTGGAAGTCAGTGTGGCAATTCCTCAGGGATCTAGAACTAGAAATACCATTTGACCCAGCAATCCCATTACTGGGTATATACCGAAAGGATTATAAATCCTGCTGCTATAAAGACACATGCACATGTATGTTTATTGCGGCACTATTCACAATAGCAAAGACTTGGAACCAAGCCAAATGTCCAACAATGATAGACTGGATTAAGAAAATGTGGCACATATACACCATGGAATACTATGCAGCCATAAAAAATGATGAGTTCATGTCCTTTGTAGGGACATGGATGAAGCTGGAAACCATCATTCTCAGCAAACTATCTCAAGGACAAAAAACCAAACACCACATGTTCTCACTCATAGGTGGGAATTGAAGAATGAGAACACATGGACACAGGAAGGGGAACATCACACACTGGGGACTGTTGTGGGGTGGGGGGAAGGGGGAGGGATAGCATTAGGAGATATATCTAATGCTAAATGACGAGTTAATGGCTGCAGCACACCAACATGGCACACGTACACACATGTAACAAACCTGCATGTTGTGCACATGTATCCTAAAACTTAAAGTATAATAAAACAAAACAAAACAAAAAACAGAGAATCATGGCCGCTCAATCAATTTCGAGACTTGAACCAGTTTATAAACCCAGAACCCCTTGAATGAAGGGGAGGCTGGGTCCTCTTGAGGAAGGACTCCACTACATCACTGTCAGTTTATGCAGTGAATCTTTCTCCCATTCTTCCCCAAGGAGACCTCTGGGCTTTTACCAGGGTAACTGTGCACTGGGGAAAGGGAAACAATCAGACATTTAAGGGACTACTGGACACTAGCTCTGAGCTGATGTTGATTCCAGGGACCCCACACTGTCATCGTGGTCCTCCAGTTAAAGTAGGGGCTTATGGAGGTCAGGTAATTGATGGAGTTTTAGCTCAGGTCCAACTTCCACTGGATCCATTTGGTCCCTGGACTCATCCTGTGGTCATTTCCCCAGTGCCAGAATGCATAATTAGCATAGACATTCTTAGCAGCTGGCCAGAACCCCCACATTGGCTCCCTGACTGGTAGGGTGAGGGCTGTCATGGTGGGAAAGGCCAAATGGAAGCCATTAGAGCTGTCTCTACCTAGAAAAATAGTAAATCAAAAACAATATCGCATCCCTGGGGGAACTGCAGAGATTAGTACCACCATCAAGGACTTGAAAGACGCAGGGGTGATGATTTCCACCATATCCCTGTTCAACTCTCCCATTCGGCTTGTGCAGAAGACAGATGGATCTTGGAGAATGACAGTGGATTATCATAAGCTTAACCAAGTGTGACTCCAATTGCAGATGCTGTATCAGAGGTGGTTTCATTGCCTGAACAAATTAACACATCTCCTGGTAACTGGTATGCAGCCTTTGACTGGGCAAATGCCATTTTCTCCATTCCTATCCATAATGCCCACCAGAAGCAATTTGCCTTCAGCCGGCAAGGCCAGCAATATACCTTTACTGTCCTACCTCAGGGGTATGTCAGCTCTCTGGCTTTGTGTCACAATCTTATTCTGAGAGACCATGATCGCTTTTTCCTTCCACAAGGTATCTCACTGGTTGATTACATTGATGACATTATGCTGATTGGATCCAGTGAACAAGAAGTAGCAAACACCCTGGACTTATTGGTGAGACATTTGCATGCCAGAGGATGCGAAATAAATCCAACTAAAATGCAGGGACCTTTTACCTCGGTAAAATTTCTAGGGGTTCAGTGGTGTGGGTCTTGTTGAGTTATTCCTCCTAAGGTGAAGGATAAGTTGCTGCATTTGGGTCCTCCTACAGCCAAGAAAGAGACACAAAGCCTAGCGGGCCTATTTGAATTTTGGAGGCAACACAATCCTCATTTGAGTATGTTACTCTGGCCCATTTATCGAGTGACCCAAACGGCTGCCAGTTTTGAGTGGGGCCACAAACAGGAGAAGGCCCTGCAATAGGTCCAGTAGCTGTGCTAGCTGCTCTGCCACTTGGGCCATATGACCTAGCAGATCCAATGGTGCTTGAGGTGTCAGTGGCAGATAGGGATGCTGTTTGGAGCCTTTGGCAGGCCCGCATAGGTGAATCACAGCGGAGACCTCTAGGACTTTGGAGCAAGGCCTGGCCATATTCTGCAGATAACTACTCTCCTGTTGAGAGACAGCTCTTGGCCTGTTACTGGGCTTTGGTGGAAATTGAATGTTTGAGTATGGGTCATCAAGTCACTATGCGACCTGAACTGCCTCTTATGAACTGGGTGCTTTCTGATTCACCTAACCATGAAGTGGGTCATGCACAGCAGTATTCCATCATCAAATGAAAGTGGTATATACGTGATCGGGCTTGAGCAGGTCATGAAGGCACAAGTTACATGAGGACGTGGCTCAAATGCCCATGCTCTCCACTCCTGCCACCCTGCCTTCTCTTTACCAGCCTGCACTGATGGCTAATGGGGGATTCCCTATGATCAGCTGCCAGAGGAAGAGGAGACTAGGGCCTGGTTCACAGGTGGTTCTGCACAATATGCAGGCACCAACCAAAAGTGGACAGCTGCGCACTATAGCTCCTTTCTAGGACATCCCTGAAGGACATCAGTGAAGGGAAATCTTCCCAATGGGCAGAACTTTGAGCAGTGCACCTGGTTGTGCACTGTGCATGGAAGGAGAAATGGCCAGATGTGCAATTATACACTGATTCACGGGCTGTAGCCAATGGTTTGGCTGGATGGTCAGGAACTTCGAAGAAGCATGATTGGAAAATTGGTGACAAAGAAATTTGAGGAAGGGGTATGTGGATGGACCTCTCTGAGTGGTCAAAAACTGTGAAGATATTTGTATCCCATGTGAGTGCTCGCCAGTGGGTGACCTCAGCAGAGGAGGATTTTAATAATCAAGTAGATAGGATGACTTGTTCTGTGGACACCACTCAGCCTTTTTCCATAGACACCCCTGTCATCGCCCAATAGGCCCATGAACAAAGTGGCTCTGGTGGCAGGGATGGAGGTTATGCAAGGGGTTAGCAACATGGACTTCCACTCACTAAGGCTGACCTGGCTTTGGCCACTGCTGAGTGCCCAATTTGCCAGCAGCAGAGACTAACTGAGTCCTCGATATGGCACCATTCCTCAGGGTGATCAGCCAGCTACCTGGTGGCAGGTTGATTATATTGGACCTCTTCCATCATGGAAAGGGCAGAGGATTGTCATCACTGGAATATACACTTACTCAAGATATGTGTTTGCCTATCCTGCACGCAATGCCTCTGCTAAGAGTACCATCCATGGACTCACGGCATGCCTATCCAACATCATGGTATTCCACACAGCATTGCTTCTGATCAAGGCACTCACCTCACAGCTAAAGAAGTGTGGCAATGGGCTCGTGCTCATGAAATTCACGGTCTTACCATGTCCCCCACCATCCTGAAGCAGCTGGATTGATAGAATGGTGGAATGGCCTTTTGAAGTCACATTATGATGCCAACTAGGTAACAATACTTTGCAGGGCTGGGGAAAAGCTCTCCAGAAGGCCATGTATGCTCTGAATCAGCATCCAACATATGATACTGTTTCTCCCATAGCCAGGATTCACTGGTCCAGGAATCAAGGGGTGGAAGTGGAAGTGGTACCATTCACCATCACCCTTAGTGATCCACTAGCAAAATTTTTACTTCCTGTTCTGCTGGCCTAGCGGTCTTAGTTCCAGAGGGAGGAACACTGCCACCAGGAGACACTGGAAATTAAGATTGCCACCTGGACACTTTGGGCTCCTCCTACCTTTAAGTCAACAGGCTAAGAAGGGAGTTACAGTGTTGGCTGGGGTGATTGACCTGGACTATCAAGATGAAATCAGTCTACTACTCCATAATGGAGGTAAGGAAGAGTATGCATGGAATACAGGAGATCCATTAGGGTGTCTCTTAGTATTACCATACCTTGTGATTAAGGTCAATAGGAAACTAAAACAGCCCAATCCAGGCAGGACTACAAATGATCCAGACCCCTCAGGAATGAAGGTTTGGGTCACTCCACCAGGAAAAACACCACGACCTGTTGAGGTGCTTGCTGGGAATACAGAATGGGTAGTAGAATAAGGTAGTCATCAAAACCAGTGACGACCACATGACCAGCTGCAGAAATGAGGACTGTAACAGTCATGAGTATTTCCTCCTTCTTTTGTTAAAAACATGTTTGTGCATGTATGTGCTTGTACTAAGAAAGTATCTTCATTTTATTTATTTTTCCTTTACCATGTGACATAAGATTTATTGACTTCATATCCGCATTTAAGTATTGTTAACTTTATGTAATAGTATTTGGGTTGGGGGTTGGTTCATTTCTGGTTGTACAAAGGATATTTGTATTACATTAGCTAAATTATGACCTTATGATTGTCTTTATTTGAAGACTATGTATGATCTCAGATGTATATGGGTTCAAGTTGACAAGGGGTAGACTTGTGATGGTTAATACTGAGCATCAACTTGATTGGATTGAAGGATGCAAAGCATTGATCCTGGGTGTGTCTGCAAGGGTATTGCCAAAGGAGATTAACATTTGAGCCAGTGGGCTGGGGAAGGCAGACCCACCCTTAATCTGGTGGGCACAATCTAATCAGCTACCAGCGAATATAAAGGAGGCAGAAAAACGTGAAAAGGTGAGGCTAGCCTAGCCTCCCAGCCTACATCTTTCTCCCATGCTGGATGCTTCCTGCCCTCAAATATCAGATTCCAGGTTCTTCAGTTTTGAGACTTGAACTGGCTCTCCTTGCTCCTCCAAGCTTGCAGGAGGCCTATTGTTGGACTTTGAGATCATGTAAGCTAATACTTAATAACTCTACTTTATATATATTATATATATAATATGTATATATCCTATTAGCTCATATATATATATCCTATTAGTTTATATATATATCATATATATATTAGTTTATATCTTATTAGTTTATATATCATATTAGTTTATATATTAGTATATATTAGTTTATAATATAGATGTATTAGTTTATAATATATAGTTTATATATTAGTTTATATGTATCCTATATATGATATATATATCCTATATATATCCTTATATATGATATATATATCCTATATATATCCTTATATATGATATATATATCCTATATATATCCTTATATATGATATATATATCCTATATATATCCTTATATATGATATATATATCCTATATATATCCTTATATATGATATATATATCCTATATATATCCTTATATATGATATATATATCCTATATATATCCTTATATATGATATATATATCCTATATATATCCTTATATATGATATATATATCCTATATATATCCTTATATATGATATATATATCCTATATATATCCTTATATATGATATATATATCCTATATATATCCTTATATATAGGATATATATATCCTATATATATCCTATATATATCCTTATATATGATATATATATCCTATTAGTTCTGTATATATATGTGTATATATATGCATATCTATGTGTATATATGTGTGTGTATATATATGTGCATATATATGTGTGTGTATATATATACATATATGTACACATATATGTATATATATGTGTGTATATATATACACATACACACACATATATATATATATCCTATTAGTTCTGTCCTTCTAGGGAACCCTGACTAATACACCCCCAAATGACTTCACATTAGATTCCTGCATCTCACAGTGACTGCAAATCCCTGTCTGCTTTATGCTGATCACTTCATTCTTGTGTGGTTCCTTTCCAGACTATTACATAGGACCATTCCTCAGATGAACACTTCCCTTGGAATGTCCCTCTCTGAATATGCCAATTGTCATGTTTTCTCACTAAACCCATCAGTTTGGTTCTCCATGTATCTATGATTACTCAACCCCTCATGCTATTAACTAAAATATCGTACCCCCGATGTGGGAAGGCTATTCTTCCTATCTTGGAATTCTTGGTACTCATGCCCATTCTTTCTTCTGAGCATCTTTATTCTATTTAAACCAGATCTTAATCATAGGGTCATTTCTTTTCTAAAAATGCCTGTTGAATATTCTCCTTCTACTTCACTTCTCCTTCCCTTGGTCTCCCAACATCCAGACCTTCCCAAGGCCATCCTGCATAATATTCATTTCATGGCTAATTTGCCCAAATCAATCCTTTCATCAGGATATTCTTCTTTTGAAAACTTCCAAAAGGTTATTTAAAACCTATGAGCATAAAAATTTCCATAATTAACCAGGTGTTCTGTAATGGAGCTATAGCATCTATGTGAAACCCATTTCCCTCTAATCCTTAATTAATTCTGCCTTCCTGTATTTACTTCGAGTTTCCAGAATGGCCCTCTATTGTTCTCTTTTCTGACCCAAATCCTATTAATTTTGCCCAGATCAAGTTCCATACACTCTGTGAAGCCTTCCTTTTAGTCCACTACAGTTTTTATTTCTGTAAACTCTTGTTATATTTTATAGTTAATACCAAGTAATTAATCTAATGGTTTCATCTGTGTTAGGTCTACTTCCCAAATTTGACTGTATCATTTCTCATGGAGAAAGATGTATTAGACTTTCTCTATTCCCTATTGTATCCACCGCAGTCCTGCAGACTTAGCAAAAGCTAATAAACTTAGCATTGACTGCAAAATAAAGATGCCTTCCTTGCCCTGGTTGAGTTGTTGAAGGTGGATATTATTATAAAAGAAAGGAGTTAAGTTAGGAAGGTATCAGGGAAATAGTACAAAGTAAATAAGTGATACATATTTGAAGGCTAAAGAGTTTTGAAATCTATTTTCAAGCCTGAGCCAATGTTACCATGACCGAGCTTGTCAACAACCACAAGCAAACTAGCTACCCACCTGCTGTGGTGAGGAAGCATTTGGAACTCAATGAGAGTGAGGTAGAAAGTCAGATAACACTTCAACATGAAAACACCTTTATATTTATTAATACCTTTTTGAGAATCCTTAGCCATTTTCTGGGCTGCCTTTCATATCGTACCTGTGAGGACAAAAGAGGGTAGGAATTATAAACACTTTGACATGGGAAGACAGACACAGAGAGAAATCCCTTGCCAAACATCTAACAGTGAAGAAACTGGGAATAGAAACCAGGTCCCATGCCTCACCATCTGGTGTTCTATCAGCTAGACCACACTGTCTCTCTAAATTGCCAACCTGGATTAATAATTGTACATATGACATAATTCTAGTTTTTGCCTTTCTGTGCTGTTGAAGATGGGACATCTCTTCCAGTGAGCATGATGGAAACTTTTCTGTGTATATATCCAAATATATAATTAACGATGTTTTTTCCTTATACACAAGCAGAATAAAGACAACCAAACTCATTTGAGTTTGTTTCAATGCTAGAAGAAAATTAAGAAATTCATTGGTATTAGATAGGGAGCTATTAAATCAAAAATAATTTAAGGAAATGTATTTTGAGAATTAGCTAATCTAAATTATATTGGCTTCTACACATTGATGTCTTTCTTTTGTCGTCTGAGCTGCTTTATTCCAAAAGCAGAATTCTGTGCACACACAACTTCTATAGCTTCCTGTTTGCGCCAAACCATGATTACAGAAATAAGAATTCTGGGTCTTTCCATTGGCTCTTTCAGCCTGCGTGTGCCTATTTTTGAGCATGTAAAGACCAACATACGTCGTTTACAATAGGTTGGAAACTGCAGGACTTTCCTTCAGACTGAGAAGAAAATTGTCTATTTAATTCAGGGAAAATGAAGGTTTAAGATCAGGTAAAATATATTATTTTCTTTAATTACCAAGCCAGGAATCCATTTGGGATTATGAAAGAGAGGCAACCCTTGATACGCTAGTATTTCAGCCTCTACTCTTTCAAATACCTGTGTCTGTTTAAGACCAGCTGTTACACTAAATATTGCCCTACAGCTACATTAGCTGTACTTATGCAAAGTATTTTTGATGGTAGCAATTGTAACCATGTTTATAAAAGTAAAGTCCAGCTGACAATTGGACATATTGATGAGTGACAGAGAGGCTGGGTTAATTCTTTAAAATCAATTTTCATTAATATTATAGTCTTTTCTTTACACCTTTGTGTAGTATTTGAATTATCCACCACGATAAAGAGAAAAACGGTAGACCACAAATTCTTCGCTTGATAGGAACGAAGGGTTGAAGCAGTGTGGGAAGGTTGAGAAGGGATTTCCTAAATCACGAATCACTGAAGGAACATCTAAGGCCAGCAAGTGCCTTAGATGGAAGGTGGGGAATGCAGGGGAGACCACTTCCTAGCAGGGACTAGGGACACCCCACAGAGCTGATCCCTAGAAGGTAGCAGGTTGCTGCCTATCTTGTTTACTGCTGCCTTGGTTCCTAAACATGCTTTGCATCACCCACCAATTCTTCTTTTTTAAAGGACAAGATAAAGTTTTTATACTTCACTAGTGAATTTGAGCTAGACAGAAGACATAAAACACCAGGGAGAACAATTTCAGCCCCTGAATTAATTCACTGAAATGTAAAATGGGGATATAGGGTTGGCAGAGATCCAAATAGAAAAGAAATCTGAAAAGATAAAATGTGTGTGTATATATATATATTTGTGCACATCTAATCTCACTTAAGAATGTAAAGCTATATAAGTGAGGCTATAGAAAGAGAAAGGGGAGAGAAGGACATGTATGGTTGGTAGGAAAGATAACTATGCAAACTTTAAGTCCTAGATATTTAGGATTAAGGATTGGGGAGCGGGGGAAGTAAGTTATAAAATAAAAAGATGAACATGATAAAATATATGTAAAATCTTAGTGAATATACTGAACAGGAAGAGAAATACTGCATTTGTGACAGAAGATAATAGTGTTCCAGAGAATAGAGCATATTATTCAAGGGCTGTATATTTAGGCCATTGATAAAAGTCATCATCCAAGATCTTTAAAATAAAGCAGAGAAGTATCTTGCTGGATCATTGAAAATGCTGATAGTTATAAATGGATTTTCTTAAGTCATTGCTGCTTTGAGCCAAAACAAGACAGGTAACAGAAGAAGGTGAGGGAAAATACTGGAAAAGGACTCTGGAGGAAACCCTCATAATTTCACTTCCACCCTGGCTCTACCCTCTACAACCAGCAGAGCCTGTCCATTGACGGTGAATAAAGGCCCGAAAGCTTAAGCTGGCCCTCTGCCTCCTTCCCTGAGGTCCTGCTCTGCCTCCCTTGCTGCACTCGTCTTCCCTGTTTCTCAACTCCCTGCTCTGCCGCCAGCTTGACCTACACACTGCCCTCCTCTGGGAAGTAGCCTCCACTCCCACTCCCTCACCTTGTCTCAGGCCTTCCTCCTCAGTGGGAGGAGGTTCTCCTGCCTTGCCCTTAAGCTCTGCTTACCTTCAGGTGTCTAACATTACTACAGAGTAGGAATCCTACAACTCGCATCCTCCATACATGACCCAAAGGCTAAATAGCCAACTGGTCTGTGACTGTCATGCCATAAAAATGCTTTATCAAATTTGAAACACAAATGAGAAGCTTGGGTTTTAGTTATATTCTCAGGGACGTGGAAATTGCACTCTTTGTGGCTAGTTTACAGTCGTTAGCAAGCTACGCATTTCCACTGGATTATTCAAACCCTTTTAGTGATTGGCTGGTATTATTTTTATTTTTTATGACAATAAAGAACATGTAATGTGCAGATATCTAGTTCCAAGATGCAAACTCTTCAACTACTTTTATGTTTAAAACTTTTTCCCCATATCCTGAGGTCAATTCAATATTTAGTAGTAGTTTCTTCCAATTTTTATAGATTTTTTTTGAACATTGAACACTGACAATCCAGCTCAGATTGTATCTATTATCTATGCACCTATGCATCTTTGTATCTATGCATGTATGTATGTATATTTATCTATCTATCCATCTACCTACCTACCCATTTAAATTATTGGCTCTTATAACAGAATAAGTCCTCTTGTCCCAATATTTAATTCATCTTTTTCATTATTTTGGATAGTTCCTCACTGTTTATTTTTTCAGATGTATTTTTCAGTAAGTTTTCCAAAGTTACAAAATAAATTCCATTGGGAATTTTTGGGGACTGCATTTTGAAGATAGAAATTGATTTGGGAAGAATTGTATCATTACAATATTTAATCTTCCTAATAGGATAATCTAAGTTTTATGTCTGTGAAATGTGAAGACAATTTCCTTTCTGATATTATTATTTTTGGAAAAATGGCTGAGACTGAATATTAAATATTCTAGTATTGCTCATCTGGCTTACGGATGAACAGCATCTTTAGCTTCTCCTTCATCTCTCAGCTGCTTGCTCTTGGTGGAACTTGCTTTTGAGCACCTTCATTGAGGCGAACAGGGACCCAGTGGGGAACCAGCTTAATAGTTCCAGAGACAGGCTTAGTCATGACACATCAGGATATGAAGAGAACTTCCCTGTGACTGGCTGGGGGTCTGCCTTGCTGAGAGGTCACTAATTATGCCTATCCTCTCCTGCAGATTTTCCTACCCTTTTGTGAAGGCCTCTTCTCCATCTCCTCCACTCTGCCAGGTACATTAGCCTCAGTGTATGTTTGAGTTGAATTAAGAAACTGAAAGGAAGCTTGTCTCTGGGACTTCATGGTTGGCTTTTCCACTGTTAATGAAAATACCACACTAGGGAAAGGGAATAAAAAATAAACTTAAGGTATAGTTTTGAGGGAAAGTGTATTCTTTTAATAACTTTTTAAGTAGCTCGTTGCTACTTCTTGTTATCTCCATCAAAACTAACTGATTCACCTCTTTTTTTTTTTTTGGCTAGGAATTAATTTCTTTTTAAATAAACACACTCTCGACCAGGCACTTTTTCCTCACTATGAACACTGAATACTTTTTTTCTTTTTGATGAAAATAATTTCACTTCAAGGAGACAGATGGGAAGATACAAGCTCAACTATGAACATCTTGCAGGCCTGGTGGTTAAAGAGGTTGATAGGTCTGTGTGTTTCATTTTATCCTCCCACAGTCTCACCAATTGTTGGCAGTGCATGTGATGCCACCAGGCCCTGGTGTCAGCCCATGATGGCTATAGGAAAGACACAGCTTTTAAAATGCAAGTCTGAGTTTCTGAGATCCAGCAGATGCATGAGCGGGGGCAGTGGGTTACATAGTTCCTGCCTGTAATGCCTGGCTCTTGCATTCTCTGCAATCTCCCCTTATGCTAGTTAACCCCAAATTCTCCTTGAAGAAATGCTTGGGAATTTTATTTTAAGCAATATTACTGATATGAGTACTTTCCCTCCAATAGTTGCACTTAAAATATCCATTTAAGCATGATCCGTATGTCTGTTTTAAATGTTTATACCTGTAGTATTTACAATAGGAAATTGACATATTTTTATACAGCTTCAAAATATTCTGTTTCAAAATGAAAAACAAGGTAATATGAAAATCCTCCAGTTTTAACCTATTGTGTCAAGATAGCAGGAGAAAGGAGACAGAGTGAGATGTTGAGATTCTCCTTAAGCCTGTCTGGGATTAGTTTTCTTAGGGGACTCTCAAAGTCAAAGTCAGGTCACCTGAGTGCCAGGTCTGCTCAGCACAGACCAATGGCAGGCGTGTGTTCAGTAAATAGAGACAGCACAGTCCAGAGGCAAGCTCTTTGGAGCAGTCTTCAATTATATGTTGTTTATTGTTTAACCAAACTGCTTGCTATTCCAAAAGTGTTGGCCCTGTCTCTTTAGCTGCCTCGTGTTCAATTGCATTTTCACCACCTTCCTCAGCCACTGCGTGTTTTAGATCTATTTTTTATGTCAGGATAGCTTTTTCTCCTTGCTATTGCTTCAGAAAAATGCTGTGGGAAAAAAATGCTTCATAAGATTTTATCTTTCCCTCTTATTTATTTATTTTTTATTTTTGTTTGGCCGCTGGGTAACTCCTGTATACTCCTTTCAGACGCAACATGAGATTAGATTTTTTAGAAATTACACTGCCTGTCATGTCTGTATTAGAGCAATCTGTCATCTTCACATTGGAAACCCTGGATGCTGTCTCTAGCCCCTGTTTCTTTAGGACCTACATATAGTATTTTGGAACGTATAGTAATAGGGGTTGCAGGAACAATGTCAATAGCCTGTTATTCTTCATATGCTGTTCTAAATTATAGATATTACCAGACATCCCAGTGTGGCATTAGGAGATGATTCTACGGTTAACACAGGAGAACATTCACAGAAATACCAGGCAAAAGCAAATGAAAAGACTAAAATATATTGCTTCTATTACTTTTAAAAGCTGACTTGGATAGCAGCAGCAACTTGGTCATAGGTAGTAATACATTAGGCTCTATCTAATATTTCTTCTTTCCATTTTATAAATAAGTAAGTAAATATATGGCATACTTATCCTCCACTTCTCCTTCCCCCTCCAGGTTGGTCAGTGCTCAGCTTGGCAACTACCAAAATAAAGGTCTGTAATTCTTTCAGACATTTGCTAAAGGTAGGAGCCCAGTGGTAGCTTTAGAATAATATCTATTATTAAAGCACATCCATTTTGCAAAGAGGATCCATGCCAGGAAGCACTCCAAAGGACCCAGTCACATTTTATCTTAAGGAGGTTGGTATTTAAAATGTCAAAATGAAATAGTTCACACAGCTGAAGGAAAGCAGTGAAAAGGCAGGCAAATGAAGCAGTGTAACTTGAACTTCCAGAGTAGCTAACCCAAGGGTCTTACTTGCACACAGAAGCTGTGTGCTATTCACGAAGCAAGTTTTTCTGCAGTGATATGGATTGTGGAATAAGTGATTATGGCTGGGATCCTGTACACATCAAGTTGCAAAACACAAGCTTTATCTTTCCATTCATTCATATTTCTTGCAGACAAGTTATTTATAGCTGCAAAGAGTGGGACTCCATCATTAAATACGGATGCATGTTGTAGTCATTTGTGTGTTTCTGAGCACACGACTAGCATTTATTCCATGTTAAATACACTAAACGCTTAGCCAGAGCACAGTGAAGGTTATAAACATCTTACTCACGTGTCCATATATTTTTAAATCCAGAAATGTTATTTAAAATGAGCATATGTATTTAAAATTCTCTCATTACATGATTGGTTATAAATTCACAGACAATTGCATATAAAAGTTTTTCTAAAATACTATGTGGTAATGACATGAATCTATGGAAACAAATGAATACAGTCACATTGTCTTTAAAATCTGATGTTTTAAACAGTATGAGGAAAACATGAAAGTGCAAACCACACATGCTCTGGCAATCTAGAAAAATATTTTCCTCTTCACAAAGTCTATTTCTCTTACTCTTAATTCACAATTTAATCTTTTCTTTTTGTTATATATTGGATGTGAATTTTCAGTGGTTTGAAATATTTGAGCATTTCTGTCCCTCGCACCACAGAGATGTAAGCATACAAATTTCTCAGATTGTAATAAAACCTATTTGAAAACTGCATTTTGTGTATACCATTTTTTCATATTTGGTAGCACAATAATTACAAAGTCAGGACTGTATCTTTTATTTCTTATATTTTGGTGCAGTTTTAGAAACTATGAATTTCAGATATTTTACTTCCATTATGAAATTTGAAAATTAACAATATCATTTGACATTTGTCATATTCCAACTGTAACTTGAGCAGTTGTGTGCATAGATGTTCACAGAAGTATAATTTTTTTCAGATTTGCATAGCTAATGTATTGATTACACCATTTTCCACATCATGGAAGCAGTCAATCTTTTTTATATCCATCCATCTCATCAACCTTAATTGGTATTTACTTGGTGCTTACTGTATTGCATATATGGTACTGTGGTAATTGCATGTGAAGATTTAACTTTAAGTGAACAATTTGGTTCAGTAATATTGTGCTCACACACACACAAATACACATCAGTGTAAGGGAATCTATATGTGATTGAAACTAAATGTCTGTGCAAGCAGTGTGGGTCTGGCCTATTTGTCCAGCAGTCTCTGGATGTGCTGGAGCTTCTGCATTCATGAGTGAATATGCAGCAATGATATTTGGCGAGCACAGATGCATTTCTACCAGCTGCACTGCACTTTGGCATCTACCCAACAGCACCAGAAGGATATAGAGATCATTTGGCTGCTTTATTTATTTTCAGAGGTCATGTGTCAGTTGCATATATGTTTTATTAAATTAAAAAAATTTATTAACTACTACCTCCCCAACTCCAAAGCATCAAATAATTTTTTCTTATTTTAAAGCAAAAGTAATTTGGATATTATTGATAATTGATAATTTCACAATGTTAGTATTAACTATCAATCCATTATTGATGTTTCGCAGAAGGTATGCTACTTCTGCATGGAAATTTCACTGAATATTTTTATTTATTCTCTCAAATACTCCATCTGTTTGCATGAACGACATTCCTATCAAATCACTGGAGTTGTTTCCAGAATTTGGGAGGCAGAATATCACAACATGTAGAAGAACAACGAAGAAACTGAAAAATAATTACCACATTGAAAAACTTCTCTCGCGCTGTCCCCATCCCTGTTTATATACAACAATGAATAAAAACCCAAGTCATGTTTAGATAAGTATAGTTATTAGCTACCTAGCTGTTAAACAGGCACAATTTCTTTGAGACTTCAGTTAACAGTTGTCATTTGGTTGATAATTTGCATTCCTGATTCATAAGCCCAGCCCAGTCTTTAAATCTTCACATTTTGAGGGCACGTATGTGAGGAGGTGGCATATTTAACCTCTTAGTTCAAGTTAAATGTCGTGGGGAATGTGAAATCAGAAAAAAAGAAAAAACTCACATCAGTAAACATGGAGCCTTAGTTGGAATCAGGGAAGAGAGGGATACTAGAGGGGGCTGAGGCATGATGTGCAAAAACGAGAAAGCAAGTTATGTACAGATTGTTTGACTGTAATATGAAGGTCCTATTGCTTTTTAAATTAATGTTCCATAGTAGAGCTATGTTACAGCCAAAAATGTATACATAACACACCTCCCTGGGGCTTAAGAATGCTTGTGATTTACTTTCTTAAGAAGGAGGAAATTCCAGTTTTACTCGTTTATAGGTGTGCTGCATTTTTGTTCTGTTCAAGTAAGCCAAGAAGTACAGATTAACTAATGTAAAAAATGGCCTCCTTCTACAGAATGAAAATAATTTTTGTATTGGAAATTTAAACCTTATTTTATGATTCTTCCATGAAACCAAGGCAATGAAAATTGCTAAAATTAGTGTATGATCTCAATGGAGTAAATTAACCATTGCTTTAAGGTTAAAATAGTGAGTGAAGGATTGTACTTGAAAGCACAAAACAATACATTTGTGTACCAAAGGATTGCTTCTGCAGGAGAAGCCACAAAAGCAAGCCTCAAGAATTGGTTCAACCTCAGCAAATAGTGTCAGTTGGTATTATGCCCATGAAGGAGACAATATGATACGGCAAAAGGCATTTCTACCACCTCTAAAACTCCTGTTATACAAGTCACTGTTTATCTGTTCTGAACTCTTTGGGAATAAGAGGAGGGGGAACAGGCATTATGCTTTTTGCTTGTTGGCCCATTTGTTGTACCATTCCTGAGTTACAGATTTCAAATCTATAAACCCATTGGAAGTCTTTCCCCAGCAATATAGATGATGTCAAAGGAACCACTTACAGTAAGAGAGTTAAACAGTGGCTTGCATAAAATCCTGGTGGTCCACCTGTCTTTCTATGTTACCTGGGAAAAAGATTCAGTGAAAGTCTGCAAACCCTCACAGCCCACATGGCCCAATCACACCAGGCTTGAGGAACCCTGGTCTCAGGCCCTCCTACACCTCAGATGCCATCCCTGCCACCTGACTTCACAGAGCTTTGCAAAGCCAACTCCAAGTTGTTAGTAAAACACGGTAATGATGGCCCATTCCTGTGTTGTTATTTAAATTAGCTTGGCAGAGAGGAAATATAAGAATGGTTTCTTGAAGGTCAAGCTATTTCTGTCTATAGAGAAGTAGTATGCTCAGAGCCAGAATAAGGAATAGGTCGGCAGAGCTAGCACCAGGGGCACTGAAATGTCTGTGAGGCCACTCTAGCTGAGTGAAAATGCTGGGAGCTGTAGCAAATCGCATTTTCCAGAGCTCCTCTCAGGGAGGAATTGCAGATGATTGGAAGACACCATATGATAAGCTGCTCCCTTACCCTTGTAGCCCCAGCTAAGCAGGGTGCCTGAAACAAAGTAGGTGCTAAATAATATTCATTAACCAGAAATGATGGGAAATGTGACCTCCAGAGGCATGTTCAAGTAAGAAATGATCACTTGATGGTCTCTAAAATGCTTTCAAAGAAACATTTATTTTCTTCTAAAGTGCCCTCTAGAGAACGTTTGTTCCTTGAGTGGGGAACGTACCCTGAATTGCTCTGCAGTTTGAAGGAGAGTCTGATATCTGAACCAACACTTTTTTGCTCTTGCTTCTCTCAGTGCTCAGCCTGTCTGTTAATATATGTTCCATGTTCAAAGACTATCAGTTGGAAGCAGTGCCAAATTATTAGCATGCCCTGTGTGCCCATATGTCTCAGTTTGGCCCTGAAAGGGATGCTATAGCTTTGGACTTGCTTGAAGATATATATTTTTTGGATTTCTAGCACCAGTTCTGTTAATCCGTTCATCTTGGTGTCCAGACAAGAAGCACTGTTCAGATTCATGACTCAATGCCTTGTCAGTGAAGAACCCCTGCCCCCATCATCCCCCAAAATGCTGCAGAGGGTATAACTGCCTGCACTGCTTCCAGTGAAATAATCAATGGGAATTGTTTATGTAAGGCAGCTTGGAGAAAATGTTTCATTGAATTTTATTAGCAATAAATTTGAAATTAAAAATATCTGAGAATGAATTTATTTCTGGACATAAGACCTTTTTAACTTCAAAAGAATAAAATCATTGAAAAGTGTACATATTTAGACACACTACAGATATTTGCACAATTGCATTTAAATGCTTTTAAAATAATTGGTACCTTATAAAACATACAATTTATTAGAACAAATCATGCTACACACAAGGAAACTGAGAGATCACTCAGTGGTGATCTACATAACCCTCTTTCCTCCATCCTTATTGAAAACATTTGGCCACCAAGACTTTATATGAAGTATACCATCACCATGTGTAGCAGACTACAGTAACTTTCTCTACAATAATTAAGAGACAGGATTTTTTTCAGCTTTATTGAAGTATTATTGACAAATAAAAATTGTATATATGTCTAGTGTACAACATGCTTTATACATTGTGAAATGATTACCACAGCCATGCTAATTAACATACATATCATCTCACATAGTTATATCTATTTTGTGTGTAAGTGTGTGTGTGTGGTGAGAGCTACTCTCTTAGCAAATTTCAAGTATACAACCCAATGATATAACCTGTAGTCACCATGCTGTACATTAGATCTCTAGAACTTATTTATCCTGTATAACTGAAACTTTGTGCACTTTGACCAACATCTCCCCATTTTCCCCACCCTCCAGCCCCTAGACAGCCACTAATCTACTCTCTGCTTTTACAAGCTTGACTTCTTTAGATTCCACTGTTAGAATGAATGCTATCAAAAAGACAAGACAGGTGCTGGTGATGATGTGAAGAAAAGTAAGATCATGCGGTATTTGTCCTTCTGTGCTAGACTTATTTCACTTTGCATGGTGTTTTTTTTTTTTTTTTTTTTTTTGAGATGGAGTCTCGCTCTATAACCTAGGTTGGCATGCAGTGGCATGATCTCAGGTCACTGCAACCTCTGCCTCCTGGGTTCAAGCGATTCTCCTGCCTCAGCCTCCTGAGTAGCTGGGACGGCAGGTGCGCACCACCACACCTGGCTAATTTTGTATTTTTAGTAGAGACAGGGTTTCACCATGTTGGCCAGGATGGTCACAATCTCCTGATCTCGTGATCCACCCACCTTGGTCTCCCAAAGTGCTGGGATTACAGGCGTGAGCCACCGTGCCCGGCTTCCTCTTTTTTAAGTTTGAGTAATATTCCATTGTATATGTATAAGAGACATTTTGTTTATCCATTTATTTGTCATTGAACATTTAGGTTGATTCCCTATCTTTGCCACTGTGAATAGTACTGCAATGAGCATGGGAGTGCAGATATCTCTTTGAGATATTGATATCATTTCCTTTGGCTCTATACCCAAGAATGGAATTGCTGAATCACATGGTAGTGCTATTTTTAATTTTTGGAGGAAACTCTATACTGTTTTCCGTAATGGCTATAGCAATTTTCACTCTCACCAACAGTGCACAAGGGTTTTCTTTTCTCCACATCCTCACCAACACTTGCTATTTTGTCTTTTTGATAACAGTCATTCTAACAGTTGAGAGGTGATATCTCATTGTGAATTTAATTTGCATTTCCCTGATCATTAGAGAAACTTCTCTGATTTTTGCAATAATGCTCAACAAAAATGTTGAGCATTTTTTCATATACCTATTGGTCATTTGTATGTCTTCTTTTGAGAAATGTCTGTTCAGCTCCTTTGCCCACTTTTTAACTGGGTTGTTTTCTTGCTATTGAGTTTTGTGAGTTCCTTACGGACTTGGGGTATTAATCCCTTATCAGTTTGTAAATATTTTCTCCCATTCCATAGATTGCCTTTTCACTCTGTTAATTATTTCCTTTGCTGTGTATAAGCTTTTTAGTTTGATGAAATCTGATTTGTATATTTTTTGCTTTTGTTGCCTGTGCCTTTAGGGTCATATCCAAAAAAAATTTGCCCACACACCAATGTTAAGATGTTTTTTCTATGTTATCTTCTAGTAGTTTTATAGTTTCAGATTTTACATTTAAGTCTCTAATCATTTTGACCCAGTTTTTATAGATGGTGCAATGTGAGGATCTGATTTTACTCTTCTATACATGGATATCCAGTTTTCCCAACACCATTTATTGAAGAAACTGTCCTTTCCCCATTGTGTGTTCTTGACAACTTTGTCTAAGAACAATTGACTATAAATGTGTCAATTTATTTCTGGGCTCTTCATTTTGTTTCATTGTTCTGTATGTCTGTTTTTAATGGCAGTTCCATGCTGTCATTGTCACTGTAACTCTGTAGTATATTTTGAAATTAGGTAATGTGATATCTTCAGCTTTATTCTTTTTGCTTGAAGATTGCTTTGCTATTTGGGACCTTTTGGGGTTCCATGTGAATTTTAGAATTTTTTTTGTTGATTTCTGTGAAAAATGTCATTGAAATTCAGATAGAAATTGCATTGAATCTGTAGATTGCTTTGAGTAGTATGGACATTTTCACAATATTAATTTTTTTCAACCCATGAACATGGGACATCTTTTCATTTATTTTGTCTTACAGAGATAAGATTTTAAAAAGATAAAAATAAAGAAACAAAAACCCCTCATAAACTTCCTACTTTAAAGAACATGGTTTTGTGGTTTGAAATGCTTTACATAATGAGATTCCTGAATGAAGTATGATCTATTTTACAATCAGAAATCATGATATATGTTAACAATATCCCCAAAGACTGAAATATAGCATAGCTATAATATTTTCTCTTTTTTGAGACAGAGTCTTGTTTTTTCACCCAGGCTGGAGTACAGTGGCACAATCATGGCTCACTGCAGCCTCAACTGCTCAGGCTCAAGTGATCCTCCTACCTCAGCCTCCCAAGCAGCTGGAACTATAGGCATACATCACCACACCCAGCTAATTTTTTTATTTTTAGTAGAGGTGGGGTTTCACCATGTTGCCTATTGGTATAATACCTATAAAAATGTCTTGGTGGTGAAATTCAGCCTATAGTACTTCTTACTTAATTGCCAGAATTTCCAAACATTTATAAAAGGGGATTTGCTAAATCCTTCATTGAAATGCTAGAGTGTTTAATTTCCCTGACTTTTGTTTCTGGATTATCACTCTTTAAAACCTCTGACAAGTCACAAAGAAGAATGGGAAACAAACTTCTTTCAGCCTATTGCTGAAAGAAGTGAAACTAGATAAAGATGAATTTTAAAACAGTCAAATAAATAAGCAGACAGACAAAACCCTGAATATATTTCTTTAGTTACATACCATGTTTGCAAATTGGGAATACTGATACATTTTTGTTAACTTTTGATGTTATTCTCTAGAGTACTCATATTGCAAAGATATAGTTTTTAGTCTGAAAAGACTTAAAGGACATGATTTGAATGTTGAATGCATAAAAATTGTTTCTGTTGATGTATTATTAAACTGAGAACAATAAAAAATTTAAGAGGAATCTGTCATTTTCTGTTTTCCCTTTGAGATTCAAGGGAGATACTTATTGCATTATCATTTTGGATCAAAACATGTTGCAATAAATAAGCTTATTGATATTTAGCAATGCAGGAAGATGATATCCAATCTTTTCTCCTGCCATTCTACTCTTAACCCCATAAGTAAGGTTAGTTTCAGGTAAATGCTTCTGCCAGAAAACTGTCTGTTTGTAGTCTCTGAATTTACCCCTCAGTTACTCAGTTCTTTGTAGTTATCAATAGCAAATTAAAAAACTGGGTCATTATCAGCTCTTAGATAGGTGAAAGCAGGTGGGACTGAGACAATGGCTCCACATTTAGTCTTTTGTGTTTGTTTGCTTTGTTACAGGTACCTGTGTGCCTCTTCTTTCCAGAAGTAGTTTCTTGTTCCTTGGCTCCTGATGGCCATTTCCCTGGCACTGAATACTCCATGGTTCTATTCTGTCCACTCTTGAATTTCACCTAGTTGTTGTCTGTGAGAATTTGCAAATATCTGATTATAGACATTATATGTGTATGTGGATTCATAATTTTAATATTAAAAAAACAAAATAACAAAAAAAGAGATAAAAATCACATCCACAACTTACAGTAATCACTGTTAACATTTTGGAACATATATTTTCAATACATTTTCTATGCATAGATGTAAATGTAAGGCATTAGATAGGCTAACTTTGTCACAAAATATGTGTCTATTTTTTCTTCATTTTTAATGTTCTTATAATATTTCATCCTACAAATCTACCACATTTCTAAACAATGTATATTTTTGACACTTAGATTGTTTTAAATTTCATGTTATAATAAATAGTTTTGCTTTATTGAGTAGTACACCCATAATATTTCCCTAAGGATGATAGAGGGTTTTTCTAAGGATAAACCCTATAAAGTAGAATTAAAAAAATGGAACCCGGAATGCTTGATCTTGTTATTTCCATGCTTCGGATCTGTGCTACTCAGGGTATGATAACTACTATAAAATATAAAAGATAACCTGAAACTCACAGAGCTTTAATACCACAAAGATTTATTTTTTGCTCATGCAGAGTCTCATGAGGAGGTTCCTGGTCAGTGGCTCTCCTTGGTGGCTCTCTTCCAAGCAGGAAACTCAGAATCCTGACTCGTTTCACTGTATGTTTCCATCATCAAGGAGTCAATGGGGACTGTCCTAATATGACTCAGGATGTTTTATGGCTGTGCCTGAAACAGAGAGCATCACTTCAGCTCACACCAAGTTGCCCATGACTTATAATCATAACTCTATCTATCATCTGTCTATCATCTATCTATCTATCTATCCATCTATCTATCTATCTAATCTATGTCTCATGACTCAATGTATCTATCTGCTGTGTTTGTGAGTGTGTGTGTTTGTGTATGTTTGGAGTGGTAATGATAGCAAATAAAGTGTTTTTTTTTTTTTTTTTTTTTTTTTTTTTTTTTTGTCCAGGAGGAAAATGAAATGTTTTGGTGAACACATAGAATTGTTTCTGTCCTAGGAACATTTTTCTTAAGTAGTATGCTCATGTAACCTGAGGGAGTATCAGTTCATGCCTGTTGTCCTGGTATGATTGCTCATAACACCTCTCTCACTCTCAAAATGTCTTGGTTGAGGAGGAGGCAGAGCAAGATGGCTGAATAGAACCCTCCAGCAATTGTACCCACCTCTCCCCAAAAGGAACACCAAGTTGAACAACTATCCACATAAGAAAGCACATTCATAAAAAACAAAATCAGGTGAGCAATCATGATACCTGACTTGAATATCATATCAAGGAAAGGGGCACTGAAGAAGGTAGGAAAGACAGTCTTGTATCACCGACATCACCACTTTTGTATCACTGGCAGCAGCCACGTGGTGTGGAGAGAATCTGTGTGCTTCAGAGGAGAGCACAGTGATTATGAGACTTTGCATTGAATTTAGCGCTGCCTTGTTACAGCAGAAAGCAATACAGGGCAGAATTTGGCTGGTGCCCACAAAGGGAATATTTAGAGCAACCCTAGCCAGAGGGGAATAACCCATCCCAGCAGTTAGAATGTGAGTTATGGCTAGCCCCACCACCACAGGCTAAAGCTGCTGGGGTCCTAAATAAACTTGAAAGGCAGTCTAGGCAACAATGACTGCAATTCCTGGGCAAATCTTGGTGCTACGCTGGGTTTGGAGCCAATGGACTTAAGGTGCACACAACCTAGTGGGACTCCAGCTGGGGTGGCCAAGGGAGTGCTTGTTTCACCCCTCCCTTAACCCCAGACAATTCAGCTTACAGCTCTGAGAGGGACCCCTTCTTTCCACTGTAGAGAGGAGAGGAGAGGAGAGGAGAGGAGAGGAGAGGGGAGGGGAGGGGAGGGGAGCAAAGCAAAGATAACTTTGTCTTGCAGCTTGGATACCAGCTCAGCCAAAGTAGGATGGGGCACAAGACAGAGTCTTGAGACTCCCATTTCAGGCCCTATCTCTGAGATGATATTTCTAGACACACCCTGGCCCAGAAGGGAACCTGCTGCCTTGAAGGGGAGGACCCAGTCCTGGAAGGAGTCATTACCTGCTTACCAAAGAGCCCTTGGGCCTGGAATAAACATCAGCAGTTGCCAAGCAGTACTCACTATGAGCCCTGGATGAGACCCAGTGCAGTGTGGGCTTCAGGTGTGACCCAGCACACTCCCAGCTGTGGTGGCCATGGGGCAGGGCCCAGCGTGGGGGGTAGGGGGCAGATTTCTTCTGCTTGAGGAAAACATAGGGAATCATAAAGGGGATTTTGTCTTGCAGCTTGGGTACCAGCTCAGCCACAGTGAGGTAGAGCACAAAGAGGGCTCCTGAGGCCTCCAATTCCAGGCTTTGGCTCCTGATCAGCATTTTTGTACCCACCTTAAGCCAGAGGGAATCCATTATCCTGAAAGGAGATTCTTAGGTCTGGCAGCATTCATCACAAGCTGACTGAAGAGCCCTTAGGCTACTGTGTGCAGTAGCCAGGCAGTGCTCACCACCAGCCTGGGGTGGTGCTGGCCACAGGGAAAGGGGTTTCTTCTGCTTGAGAAAAGATGAGAGAAGAGTGGGAAGTACTTTGTCTTGATGTGTGGATGCCAGCTCAACCAGAGTAGAATAGAGCACGAGGTAGATCCCTAAGGTTTCTGATATTGTTTGGCTCCATGTCCCCACCCAAATCTCATCTTGAATTGTAATCCCCACATATCGAGGAAGGGACCCGGTGGGAGGTGATTGGATCATGGGGGCAGTTTCCCCCATGCCATTCTCATGATAGTGAGTGAGTTCTCACAAGAGCTCATGATGTTAAAGTGTGGCACTTCCTCACACTCTGTCTTCCTCCTGCCACCATGTAAGATGTACCTTCCTTCCCCTTGTTTCCTAAGGTCTCTCCAGGTATTCAGAACTGTGAGTCAATTAAATCTCGTTTGTTTATAAGTTACCCAGTCTCAGGTGGTAACAGTGTGAAAATGGACTAATACGGTTCCCAACTCCAGGTCCTGGCTCCCATATAGCTTTTCTGGACCCACCCTGGGCCAGAGGGGAGCTCACTGTCTTGAAGGTAAGGATACAAGCCTGTTAGGATTTACCAGCTGCTGATTGTAGAGCCCCTGGGCCTTGAGGGAACATTGGTGGTTACCAAGCAGTGGTTGCTGTAGGCCTTGGGCAAGTGACATGTTGTCTTCAGGTCTGATCCAGTGCAGTCCCAGTGGTGGTGGCTACATGGTTGCTTGTGCCATCTCTCCTCCAGCTCCTGGCAGCTCAGCATGGAGGGGGACTCCATTAGTTTGGGAGAAACTAAGGGGAGAGAATGAGTATCTGCATGGGAATCTGGAGAATTCTCTTGGATCTTACCCAAGACCACCAAGGCTGTATCTATATGAGTCTGCAAAGGTCACAGCATTTCTGGGCTTGGGGTGCCCCCTATTGCGGATAAGGCTGCAGTAACCAAAGACTTGAATCACAACACTCAATTCCCTTTGAACACTTGGAAAGCCTTCCCAAAAAGGATGGGTACAAACTGTGAAGACTATAATAAATACCTAACTCTTCAATACTCATACTTTGATGAAAATACATAAGCATCACAACCATCCAGGAAAACATGACCTCACCAAATGAAATAAGTCACTAGTGACCCATCCCAGAGTGACAGAAATATGTGACCTTTCAGACAGAGAATTCAAAATAGCTGTTTTGAGAAATCTCAGTGAAGTTCAAAATAACATGGAGAAGGAATTCAGAATCCTAAAAGATAAATTTGACAGTGAAATAATTAAAAACAATCAAACAGAATTTCTGGAACTGAGAAATTCAATTGACATACTGAAGAATGCATCAAAATTTCTTAATAGCAGAATTGAAGCAGAAGACAGAATTAGTGAGCTAGAAGACAGGCTTTAAAAAACACAGAAGAGACAGAAAACAAGAAAAAAAAGACTGAAGTTCACCTGCAAGATCTAGAAAATAGCCTCAAAAGTGTTATTGACCTTAAAGAGGAGGCAGAGAGAGATCAGGGTAAAACATTTATCAAAGGAAAATAACAGAATTTTCCAAACTGGGATAAAAGTATCAATATTCAAGTATAAGAACGTTACAGAACACCAAGTAGATTTACCCCAAGTAAGACTACCTCAAGACATTTAATAAACAAACTCCCAAAGGTCAAAGATAAATAAAGGATTCTAAAAAAGCAGCAAGAGAAAAGAAGCAACATACAAAGGAGATCCAATATGTCTGCCAGCAGACTTCTCAGTGGAAACATTACAGGCCAGGAGAGAGTAGCATAACATATTTAAAGTACTGTAGGGAAGCATTTTAATCATTGAATACTGTATCCAGTGGAAATATGCTTTAAACATGAACAACAAATAAAGACTTTCCCAGACAAAAGCTGAGGGATTTCATCAACACCAGATCTAGCCTACAAGAAATGCTAAAGGGAGTTCTTCAGTCTGAAAGAAAAGGCTATTGATGAGCAATAAGAAATCATCTGAAGGTACAAAACTCACTGGTAGTAGTAAGTACGCAGACCAACACAAAATATTATAACACTGTAATTATGTATAAATGACTCATGTCTTGAGCAGAAAGACTAAAAGATGAACCTATCAAAAATAACTACAATAACTTTTTAAAGCCCAGTATAATAAGACATAAATAGAAACAACAAAAAGTTAAAAAGTGAGGAGGGGGTATGAAGTTAAAGTATAGTTTTTATTAGTTTTCTCTTTGCTTTTGTAATCAGTGTTGCCATTGGCTTAAAATAATGGGTTATAAGATTTTATTTGCAAGCCTTATGGCAACCTTAAATTAAGAAACCTACAAGAGATATACAAAAAATAAAAAAGCAAGAAATTAGAACATACCACCAGAGAAAATAACCTTCACAAAACAGAAGACAGGAAGAAAGCAAAAGAGGGAGAGGGGGGGAATAGAGGGAGGGAGGGAGGGAGGGAGGGAGAGGAAGGAAGGAAGGAAGGCAGGTAGATAAAACAATCAGAAAACAAATAACAAAATGGCAGTAGCAAGTCCTTATTAATAATAACATTTAATGTAAATGAACTAAACTCTCCAATCAAAAGACAATGAGTGGCTGAATGGATAAAAAAACAAGACCCAGTGATATGTTGTCTTCAAGAAACACATCTTGTCTATAAAGACACACGTAGGCTGAAAATAAAGAGATGGATAAAGATATTCTATTCAAATGGAAACCAAAAAAGAGCAGACAAAAAGATTTCAAGAAAAATACTACAAAAAGAGACAAAGAAGGTCATTATACAAAGATAAAGGGGTAAAATTCAAGAAGAGTATCACAATTTTAAATATATATGTAGCCAATACTGGAGTCCCCAGATATACAAAGCAAATATTATTAAAACTAAAAGAGATAAGAAATCAATACAATTTGGTGACTTTAAGGCCCAGCTTTCAGCATTGGACAGGTCTCCCAGACAGGAAGTCAAAAAAGAAACATGGGACTTAATCTGTACCATAGATCAAAGGGACCTAATAAATATTTACAGAACATTTCACCCAATGACTGTAGAACACACATTCTTCTCCTCAGTACATGGATCATTCTCAAGGATAGACCACATGTTAGGCCACAAAACAGGTCTTAAAGATTTCAAAAAATTGAAATCATATCAAGTATTTTCTCTGACCACAAGGGAATAAAACTAAAAATTATAAATAAGAGGAACTTAGAAAACTATACAAGCAAATGGAAATTACACAATATGGTCCTGAATGACTAGTGGGTAAATGAAAAAGTTAAAAATAAAACTTAAAAGTGTCTTGAAACAAATGAAAATGGAAGCACAACATATCAAAACCTATGGGATACAGAGAAAGCAGTACTAAGAGGAAAGTTTATAACAATAAGTACCTACATCAAAAAAGTAGAAAACTGTCAAATAAACAACTTAATGGTGCATCTTAAAGAACTAGAAAGGCAAGAGCAAACCAAACCCAAAATTAGAAGAAAAGAAATAATAAAGATAAGATCAGAAATATATGAAATTGAAATAAAAAACAACACACAAGGTAATAAAACAAAAGGTTTTTTTAAAAAAATAAAATTGACAAAACTTTAGCAACACTAAAGAAAAAAAAGACCCAGATAAATAAAATCAGAGATGAAAAAGGAGACATTACATCTGATACCACAGAAATTCACAGAATTATTAGTGGGCTACTTAATATCTATATGCCAATAATTGGGAAACCTAGAAGAAATGGATAAATTCCTACCCACATACAACCTATCGGGATTAAACCATGAAGTAATCCGAACCCTGAATAGACCAATAAGAAGTAATGAGATCAAAACTGTAATGAAGAGTCTCCCAATATAGAAAACCCAGCACCCAATGACTTCACTGCTGAATTTTAATACCAATCCTGCTCAAACTAGTCTAAAAAATAGAAGAGGGAATACTTCCAAACTCATTCTATGAGGCCAGTAATATCTTAATACCAAAACCAAACAAAGAAACATTAAAAAAAGAAAACAACAAGCAAAGTCGTTGACACACATTGATGCAGAAATCCTCAACCAAAAACTAGCAAACTGAATTCAACAACACATTAAAAAGATCATTTATTATGACCAAGTGGGATTTATCCCAGGGATGCAAGAATAGTTCAATATATGCAAATAAATAAATGGATACATCATATCAACAGAATGAACAAAATCCATATAATTATTTCAAAGCATTTGATAATTTTCAACATCCCTTCATGATAAAAAAAAAAAACCCAAAAACTGAGTGTAGAAGAAACATACTTCCAACATAATAAAAGCTGTATATGACAGACCCACAGCTAGTATCATACTAAACAGGGAAAAATTAAAAGCCTTTCCTGTGAGATCTGGAACATGACAAGGATGACAATTTTCACCACCGTTATTCAACATAGTACTGAAGTCCTAGCTAGAGCAATCAGACAACAGAAAGAAATAAAAGGCATCCAAATTAGACTGGAAGAAATCAAATTATCATTGTTTGCAGATAATATGATCTTATATTTGTAAAAGCCTAAATACCACCAGAAAACTATTAGAAATGATAAACAAATTCAATAAAGTTGCAGGATACAAAATCAACATACAAGAATCAGTAGCATTTCTATATGCCAACGTGAACAATCTGGAATAGAAATAAAAAAGTCATCCCATTCATGATAGCCACACATGAAATTAAATACCTAGGAATTAACCAAAGAAGTGAAATATCTTTATAATGAAAACTGTAAAACATTGATGAGAAAAATTGAAGAGAACACCCTAAAAAGGAAAGAGATTTCATGTTCATTAATTGGAAGACTCAATATTGTTAAAATGTTCGTACTACCCAAAGCAATCTACAGATTCAATGCAATCCCTATAAAATACCAATGAGATTCTTCACAGAAATAGAAAAAAACAATCCTAAAATTTATGTGGAACTACAAAAGACTCAGAATAGACAAAGCTATCCTAAGCAAAAAGAACAAAACTGGAGGAATCATATTACCTGATGTCAAATTATATTATAGAGCTATACTAACCAAAACAGCATGATACTGTCATAAAAACAGACACATAGACAAATGGAACAGAATAGAGATCCTAGAAACAAATCCATACATCTACAGTGAATTCATTTTTGACAAAGGTGCCAAAAACATATTTTGCAGAAAGAAAGAACAGTGTCTTCAATAAATTGTGCTTGGAAAACTGGATATCCATATGCAGAAGAATTAAACTAGACCCCTATCTCTCACTACACACAAAATTCAAATCTGAATGGGTTAAAGACTTAAAGCTAAGACTTGAAACTGTGAAATTACAAAAAGGAAACATTGGTGAAACTCTTTGGTACATTGGTCTGGGCAAAGATTTCTTGAATAATAAATACCCCACAAGCACAGGAAACCAAAGCAAAGATGAACAAATGGGGTTGTATCAGGTTAAAGAGCTTCTGCAATGAACAAAGTGAAGAAAACCCACAGAATGGGAGAAAATATTTGCAAACTATACATCTAAAAAGGGATTAATAACCCGAACATATAAGAAGCTCAAACAACTCAATTAGAAAAAAAGTAATAATTTTATTTAAAAATGGGGAAAATATCTGAATAGACATTTTTCAAAAGAAGGTATACAAATGGAAAACAGGTATATAAAAAGGTGCTCTACATCACTGATCATCAGAGAAATGCAAACCAAACCACAGTGAGATATCATCTCACCCCGTTAAAGTGGCTTTCATCGAAAGGATAGTCAATAACAAACGGTGGTGTGGATGTGGAGAAAAGGGAACTCTTGTACACTGTTGATGGGAATGTACAATCAGAATGGAGAATAGTATGGAAGCTCCTCAGAAAACTGAAAAGAGAACTACCATATGACCTACCAATTTCACTGCTAGGTATATACCCAGAAGAAAGGAAATCAATATACTGAAGATATATCTGCACTCCCAAGTTTACTAAAGCACTATTTACAATAGCAGAAGATTTGGAAGCAACCTAAGTGTCCATCAACAGATGAATGGATAAAAAAATGTGGTACATATACACAAGGCAATACTATTAATCCATAAAAAAGAATGAGATCTTATAATTTGCAACAACATGGATAAACTGGAGGTTATTATGTTAAGTGAAATAAATCAGGAACAGAAAGTCAAACTTCACATTTTCTCACTAATTTGTTGGAGCTAAAAATTGAAACAATTGAACTAATGGAGCTAGAGAGTAGAATGATGGTTACCAGAGTCTGGGAAGGGTGTGGGTGGGGTAGAGGAGAGTGAGGATGGTTAATACATACAAACAAATAGAAAGAATGAATAAGATCTAGTATTTGATATCACAACAGAGTGATTAGAGTCAACAAAAATTTATTGTACATTTAAAAATAACTAGCAGAGTATTCTTGGATTGTTTTTAACACAAAGAAATGATAAATGCTTGAGGTGATGGATACTCCACTTACCCTGATGTGATTTTTACACATCATATGCCTGTATCAAAGCATATCATGTACCCTTTAAATATATACACTTACTATGCACCCATAAACATTTTAAAATATTAAATTAGAAAAAGACAAAAATGTGTCTTGGTTTATATATAAATTATGTGATCATCCTAGCTGTGACTCTCTACTACCCAGATTCTAAAGTGTCCTGAATCCCTGTTCTCCAGTATCCTGAATCCCACACTCTCTTCTGGCATCTGCATTGCCTATCCAATGCTGGCCAGATGGGTATCTCCGAATTTGGAGCTCTAGAACAGTTCCCAGGGCAGAGAGACCAGTGCTGATGCTTACTATCTTTTCCTGAGAATAGAAGCTGCAAGAAGGTAGATTTTAGTTAAATATAAAAAAGACTAAAAAAAAAAATTTAAAAAAATTTTAAAAGATTAAAAAAATTAAGAAAAGACATTTCTACAATTAACATCATTCAAAAAACTGATATGTGTTACCTTGTAAGGCAGTGAGTTTCCTATTTTGGGGGCAGTTCACATGGAGATGCGATTAGCATTTATAAAAGATATTATAGAATGGATTCTTTAATTCATTGGAAGATTGGAATAGATACATTCTAAAATTCTCTTAGGTCTAAGATTCTGTGATTTGAAATGACATGACCCACTTGGAACAGGGCCAACTGGGTCTTTTTCAGGGGATCACTTATTGCTCTCAAATGCAGTTGCTTAAGATAGCTGTGATATGAACTGGATCTTTAGATGAAGTGCTCAACCATATTTTCTAAAATAGTTTAATAGTAGTGATATTTTCAATGTTTCCAAAAGTGGAATTTCCTCTCTTTGCCTTAGGGAATTGCCACTATAGAATCTAATACTGTGTCTTTTCAACTGAACTGATAAAAACATGACTCTTCTTAAAGCCATTATTTTTAAGTGCACTATTTTCTCTACAATTCTGGTCATGTTTGCTGCAAGTAAAAGAAAGAAACTGTGATTAGCTACACTCACATGATGTAATGGATGATTGCTAGCTTTGTTCTCTTTCCCTTGTGCATCCCTAGGGGCTTGCTTTGCCTCTAATGCCACATAAATTATTTCTTTTTCACTGTAAAAGAGAGAGAGAGTGATATGGTTAGGCTGTGTCCCCACCCAAATCTCATCTTGAATGGTAGCTCCCACATGCATATTGTGGGAGGGACCTGGTGGGAGACAATTGAATCATGGGGGCAGTTTCCCCCATACTGTTCTCCTGGTACTCAATAAGTCTCAGGAGATCTGATGATTTTATAAGGGATTTCCCCTTTCACTTGGCTCTCATTCTCTCTTGCCTGCCACTGTGTAGGATGTCCCTTTGCTCATTGTCTTCCGCCATGATTGTGAGGCCTCCCCAGCCAAGTGGAACTGTGAATCCATTAAACCTCTTTTTCTTTATAAATTACCCAGTCTCAGGTATGTCTATTAGCAGCAAGAAAACGGACTAATACAGAGAGAGCGTGAGAGCAGGAGAAAGGGAGATGGATAAATATTGAGAGGGAATAAAGAAAAAGGAAAGAGAAAGATATGAAGTAGTCACAGACAAAGTGATAGAATTGCTTTACTTTCAAATTAGGCCTTGGTAGAATTGCCTTGTGATGGAATAGTTAAAAATATGCTATAAAATACATCGATATTCACACAAGTTAAAGAAGAATAGTATAATTTCAGAAAACAAAACCATCATTACGGACAATGAGAGTGAATAGAGAATACAGTCAAGTTTCTGCTTTGACTTTGCTCTGTATAAAAAATATTTTTAAATATCATATTCATACTTACAAATTTGAAAATACGTAGTCTGATACATTTAAAGTGGCTGACTTCCTTTTTTATTTTTTGGCCACTACAGTTTCTTTCCCTCTTTGAGGCACAAACCAAACCAAGGTCCCCTGGTTCTAGCTTCTGGTTGAGTTCTTGTTTGCATTGTGGAGTATGGAGGCTGGCTTTGTAGTGGCCACCAGCCTGCCTTATCTATTCTCTTCTACCGTCTTTCTCATTCTTCTCCCTTTTTCAATTTTTGACAGCCCAGTCATAATCACAACAAACCTGAATATTTTTCCTAAATTGTTTTTCCTTTCAGAATTTACTTCTAAGAGAAGCCATGCCATTTGTTATACGGATTCCAAATTTGGTTTTAATTTCATAATTAAAACTAAAAGCCTTATCTTTGAACAAAATGGATTAATTTAAGGATTTCTAGGAGTCATTTCAGATAAGGACAACATCAGAGGGCTCAATGAATCTGATGAATGTGTCATAACCTTTTGGAGACATGAGAAAGAGAAAAACAAAAGTCTCTTTTTGAACAATCGCCAAAACAGCAAAAAATCTACCTCATGTGGCTCTTCTGAGCATGAAAATAAAAATAGTAGCAAAATTTTGCCCCCTAAACAGTTGCAAATTGATCTCATACTATTGTTTCTTACTTATTCTTAAGTGATATTAAGAATTGTTGGCTTTATCGGTCAAGAACAAAAGTAGAGTGTTATCAGTTCTCAAAAAGTCAGCCTCTAAGTGTCTCACGTCAACTTCTTTCTTATAGGTATTAGCCGTTTTTCATTATTACTTGTTCATTCCTCTTTTTCCACTCTCTTTATCCTCTTTTTTTCTGTCATTCACTTCTTAGTTTCCATAGTTTTATATATCATCTAAAAGTTGTTGACTGTCAATTTGTATCTGCATTCTTCATTTTAATAAAAATGTTACTCTGCTGTCTTCTCATTTGCTTTTGTCTCTGATATGAAATCTGGTGTCATTGTTAAATTCGTTCTTTAGTAGGTTCTCTATATATTTTCTATGGCTGTGTTTAGATTGTTCTTTATTACTGGTTTTAACCAATTTGATTATAATGTATCTAGGTATAGTTTTCTTCATGTTTCTTGTGATTGAGTTTATTGAATTCTCAGGTATATAGGTTTTCATGCAATTTGGAAACATTTTTCCATGACTTTTCCTAATATTCTTTCTGTTCTACTCTCTTTAGGAGACTTCAATTAAAGGCAAATTAGACCACTTGAAGTCATTCCACAGCTCACTAATCCTTTCATTATTTCTTACTCCTTTTCTTCTTTTGCATAGTTTCTATTGCTATGGCTGTAAGTTCACTAATGTTTTCTTCCATAATGTGTAATCTGCTATTAATCCCATGCAGCACTATTTTTTTTTAAAATTTCTCACATTGTAATTATCACCTCAACAAGTTTGTTTTTCCCTCAAATTTTCTCTCTATTTAACCTTTTGAACATATGGAATACAGTTTTAAAAAACTGTTTTAACATCCTTGTCTTCTAATTCTAACATCTGTATCTGTCTGAATTTAGACAGGTAATATTGATTATATTGATTGCTGATGGGTCATTGTAAATTTTAACTTGTTGAGGGTTGGACACATTTTTGTTTCCTGCAAGTATTCTTGAGCTTAGTTCTGGGATATACTCAGTTACTTAGTTCTTGCAAACAGTTTGATCTTTTCAAATCTTGCTTTGAAGATTTGCTAAATGAGACAAGACAAGTGCTCAGTCCAGGGTTTATTAATCCCCACTACTGAGGGAAGGCCTTTTGTGTACTCTACCCATTGCCTATAAACAATGAAGTTTTTATTCCGGCTGGTTGGGACAGGCACTATTTCTGGTCCTGTATGAGTTCCAATTATTTTTCAAGTGGTCCTTTCTCCAGCCTTGGATAATTTCCTCACATACATGAATGGATCTATACTTTGCTAAATACCTGAGGGGAACCCTATGTGGATCTCTGGAATTCTCTTTCTGTGTACTCTCTCCTCTCTGCTACTCTGTCCTGTGAACTCCACCTCCTTGGCCTCCCAGCACTCTCCACTCCATCTCCTCAACTCAGAATCTTCCAGGCTTTACTTGGGTTCCTCTTTCCTGTGTCAGAGCATGTAAACTCTCTCAAGGAAGTAACCCAGGGCAATTGTACACCTCATCCCATTGGTTTCTTTCCTCAGTTTCACTGTCCTTTGTTTGCCTGGTGTCAAGTGTCTTAAAAACTGTTGTTTCATATATTTTTTTCGATTTGTTCATTGTTTGAGGTTAGAGGATAAGTCCAGCCCCTATTGCTCCATGGTGACTGGAGGGAGGCCAGTCTCCAATTTTGGCCTTTTTCTTCAACAGCAACTACCCACTCAACATTAAAACTTGACTGTCTAACATTCTACATTATTGTGCACACAATTGAATTCTTTTTATCTGCAAAAGCTGCTTTTAAATTCTCCACTGTGCTCTGGTCATTCAAGCCAAAATTTATAATCATCCTCTTTTATTTCTCTTTTATGCCCCATAGCCTATCCATCATCGAATACCATGAACTCCACCTTCCAGATACATTCCAAATCCAACGTCTTTATACCTTAACTGATACCACTTTACTCCAAGAAAACATCAGATTACTGCAATAGCTCAGTGTCAGCCCGGGATCTGGCAGGGTTAAAAGATAGTACACACAAACTGATGAATTAGAGAGAGAAGCTAAGGAGATTATTTGAAAAGGTGAAGGTAGGGTTAGGGAAACCAATAAAGAAATGTTCTATCAATAGGAAGTGATTTTCACCCAAAACCCTGAAGGGACAAAGGGAGCGAGCAGATACCAAAATTCAGGGAAATTAGGGGCTGACAGCGGCTGTGGCCTTGGTAGGGAGATGCAGCCAACCCTCAGCAACCTAGCAGGGAGGGAGCAGGGAGGCTTAACGCACCAGCCACATTCTCTTCTCAGTGTTCTGCTGGCTGCTCCCATGAGCTGAAGTCAAGGAAACTCGGACATAGCACAGAAAGGTCAGATTCTAGGGACCCAGAGTGGAGACAGGTACAGAGAGGGTCTGGAGGAGCAAACAGAAGTTCCTGAGCCCAGGCCCCCAAGCAGCCTCCTTATTCTATGCAAGCCTCCTACAGGCTGTTTATAGCAGCCACAGGAACCCTTTGAAGATATAAATCTATTTACATCATTCTAGTGCTTAAAACGCTGAAATGGCTTTCCTTGACACTTGGAATAAAATTTAAAATCCTTGCTCTAAAGTTCTTCCATGATCTCATCCTTGGCTACTTTTCCAGTGCAATCTCTAATTACTCTTCCCATCTCTTATTCTGCTTCAGCTACAATGGCCTTCCTGCTGTTCCTCAATACTCCAAATTCCTGCCTGTCTTGCACTTGCTGTTCTGGCTAGTGGAAAGCTCTTTCCCATCCCCTCATTTTATTTGAGTTTTTGAGAGGGCTTCTCAGATTGACCCCCCTAAAATAGTAGGTTTTATTATTCTACAGCTCCTCATCCTTTTTTATTTTATATTTCTTCACTTATGACCACCTGTTTATTATCCCCCTTCCTCCATTAGAATATAAGCTCCATGAAAGTAAGAGCTTTGCCTGTATAGTGGCTATTGTGTCCCTGTAGTTACAACAGAGGTTGTCACATTAAAAATATGCAAACATTAATTGAATAAGTAAAGGAATATCAGGTAATTATCTTCTTTTCCTAATCCAAAGAAACTGTCTTAAAGTCCCTCCTAATTTTTGCATCTTATTGTGTAACACTGTCATTTCATTTCATTTCCGTAGGCTTTCAGAGATTGTGTATTAGTTTGCTGCGGCTGTTGTAATAAAGTGGCCCCGTCTGAGTGGCTTAAACAACAGAAACTATTTTACCACAATTCTGGAGGCTAGAAGCCTGAGAGGAAGGAATCATAAGCATTGGTTCCCTCTGAAGACTGTAAGAAAAAATATGTCCCCTGCCTTTGCCCCAGCTTCTGGTGGTTTTCTAGAAATCTTTGGTATCTCTTGGCTCTCTCCTTATCTTCAGATGGCACTCTCCTTGTGTGCATGTCTGTCTCCAAATTTCTCCTCTTAACAAGAACACTAGTCATAGCTGATTAGGGGCCCACCTGATCCAATGTGACCTCATCTTGACTTAACTACTGATATCCTCAATGACTCATTTCCAAATAAAGTCACATTCCGAGGTACTGGGGGTTAGGACCTCAGCATATGAATATTGGAAAAATGCAATTCAACTCATAACAATTAATAAGCTTGTCATATGAATCAAATAAATGACAATATGTAAGCATAAATAATTAAAATAATATTTTAAATGTTTTAATAATTTATTTTGAAGTAATTTCATAAGTAATTTCATATTTTCTGAAAAGTTGCAACAACAGAACAAAAAACTCCTGTATCTCTTTCAGTCTTACTCTTCTGTAAACATTTTGTTGTATTCATCACATTTTCTCTCTCTCTTTGTTTCTCCTTCCTTTTCTTCTCCCTCCCTCCTCCCCCCACCCCCACTCCCCCATATACTATTCCTTTGCTGAACTATTCAAGAGCAAGTTGCAGTGTTAATACCCCATTTTCCCTTAAAAACAGCAGTATGTAAATCTCCAAAACAAGGTGTTGAGAGTTGGCAGACACCTACATAACCACACTGCAACCACCCAAATCAGTAAATCAATATTAATGCAACAATAACATCTAGTCAATGAAGCATATTAAATTTTTTCCAAGTACCTCAACAAGGTCTCTTTTTCCATTCTGGCTCAAGATTCAGTTCAGAATCACATATTGCCTTTAGTTGTCATGTGTATTTTATCTCTTTTAATGTGCAACTGTTTCTTCATCTTTCCTTGTCTTTTAGGATCTTGACAGTTTGGTTCTGTGAGCTGTCCTTCAATTTGTCTGCTGGATTCTTCTTTGTGTCCAGTCTCAAGCTGTGCATTCCTGTAGGAATACCATAGAAATGATGCTGAGCTCATCTCAGTGAATCCATATCAGGGCCACATGGAGTTGATCTGTCCCACAGCCGATGATGTTAACGTTGATCACATCCAAGTGGATGTTTGTCAGATTTCTTCACCTTAAAGTCCCCGTGTTTCCTTTTGTAACTGAAAAGTATTTTGAAGAGAAATACTCCGAGACTATCAACATCCTGCTCCTCATCAAACCTCTAGCTTCCAGCCTAAGCATCTGTTGGAAGACTACCACCTGGATCAACAACCACTGATGTGGTATACTCTGTTTCCATTATTTCTTCCACCCTTACTATTTGGTATACTAATTTAAGGAAAATTCATGTAAATTTCTTTCTTCATTTATTTTTTAAGGCCAGAATATTCTTCGAGATTTCTATCTTATTCAAAGGGCTGCAATCTGTTTCTATAATTATTTATTTTGATGCTCAAATTTTCCAAAATTTGTCAGTGACAGGCTCTTGCTGGGCTCCTGTGTCCTTCTGACATGTCCCTTTCATTCTTTGAGCACTTCCTTACATTTTGCCACAAAAAAGATGTTATAGGTGTATCTTGTACTTTCCTTGTCCTAGCCCTGAATCAGCCATTTTTCTGAGGCCTCCTTGTTTGTTTTAGTGGAAGAAGGTTTCTAGGAGTCATGATCTGGGCCCTCACTATGCTTATTGCTTCTGGAGTTGCTCAGAGGCCCTCTCAGAAACAGAACTAGAAAATAAATATCTGGGAATATACATAATTATACATGTCACACACATACATGAATGCACACACATTTTTATGTCTACTCCTACCTTTCCCAGATTTGCAAATCCCTTCTCCAATAGTGAGAAACTCTGCTCTCATCACCCTCCATGCCTCCTCCTCTGCTCAGGGCCCATGTGTGACCCTCCCTGCAGGCCAGCAACTTTGCCCTGACTCTGCTGCTCTCTCCTCAGCTCCTGGCTTGACACATGTCCTGGGCTGCTGCCACCCCAGCTTCTAGTCATGGAGGTATGGAAAGGGAATAGAAAGACAAAAAAAGAGGAAGAGCAACAAATAGCATTAGATCTCTGGAAGTGCTGAATAACTCTTGTGTTCACATTCATTTTCTAGCCTTCCTCTTGCTCCATCTGTGTTTGACACTTTGTGTATCTTCACTTAACAGGCAGTGAATCAAAACTCACTTCAGTGTGCTGACCAGTAAGTATGTAATGTATTCATCTGCATGGTACAGGTGGGAGTGAACAAAACACACTTGTTTTCAGACTGTTTACCATTGAGTAAGGAAGATAATACACGTGCCCGAATCTGTTTTGTCAAACAAGTTGTACTTGTTAGAGTATAATATGAGTGTCATATAAAAGCAGCCTTGTTCCTGTCTCCTTCTCCCTGCTTGATTCTGTGTTGAGGACTCTCCCGTGTAACATGTTTGCACATTCTGAGAACATCTCTCACTCACTGCCCCGACTGCGTCTGCCATGAGTTAAGCCATGCTGGTCCTCCCACCGGCAATCTCCATTATCGTCTCACAACTTCTAGGCTTTTATGTTTCATCTCATTTTAGGGGTCTTTTGCCTCTCAAGTCATTCTTGAGTGGGATTCTTTTTAAAACAAACTCAGTTTTGATGGACTCAAGACCTTTCACAAAGCCCGCTTCTGGTGTTGGGAAGGCACCCACCTTTGCCCTGCCGTCTGTGCATGTGATGCACTCATTCTCAACTTGGCTCTGTTAAGTCTGTGCTCAGGAAGGAGCAGCTTCCATCACACCTCCAGCCCGAGCTTCTTTAGGGCTTACTACATGCCAGTTGTGATGTCACTTAAACTCCAGGGGCCTATATCAAGCTCACGTGGCTCTCTGAGGCCCCTCTAGCTTAATTTCAGATGAGATCAAAGCAACCTCCTTTGATCTCTCAGCACACTAATACTAAGGGGTGCATTTGGGGTAATAGTGACACTTTTTCTTAATCTGGATAATGGTTCCTTAGTATGTCCGTTTTTGGGATAATTCATTGAGCTGCATATTCATGATGTGTGCAGATTTCACTATGTGGGCTCTACTTCATTAAAGAGCAATTATTACAAATGTATTCAGAAGATAAGTTGAATAATTTACATTTTGAATTGGTATAGATTCCCCTCCTACTTTTTAATTATAGCTGAATAAGGGCACCTCATCAAATTCAACATTCCATCCAAATTTGGACTGAGTGTCCACTTACCCTTCTAGTACCTCCAGGTTCATTCTTGGCATGCCTAGCTCCATTAGTCAAGGTTCTTTGGATATCAAGGGACAGAAACCCAATTTGATACAGCACAAAGTGGAATATATTGATGCATGTAAATAAATTACTGCAGAGAGAAGGGTAAGGCAAGCTTCAGAGACTGGAATGCTTCAGAGCATTTTGTGTCAGTTTCTCTCTCATTTCTATGACAACGTCATTCTTTCAGACCAACCTGTTCCACAAAGCTCTAGTCATGACTGTTAGCAGTAGCAATGCTCCACTTCCCTTATTTGCCCCTTTCTCAATTTGAAAAGTCCCAGGGAAGGCTTCTGATCAGTTTGGGTCCTATGCCCACCACTTCTGAGGAGTGGAGGAGTAGGGAAGAGGAAAGAGCAGAGACACTTATGGTTGGAATGGGAGGGGTAATAGTCCCTCAAAACAAAGGGTTGTAATGTCCAAAATAAATGGGAGAAATCCCAGAACAAAGCACAATTTACGTGAGTTCACTGATTGTTCTAGCCTTCAACAGCTCCAATAGGGTTTATAGTAGTTGTTGGGAATGGGCTGTGAAGAATGAGCATTCTTTTTTTCTCTTGTTTTGTTTTGTTTTTTTGAGATGGAGTCTCACTCTGTCACCCAGGCTGGAGTGCAGCGGCACAATCTCGGCTCACTGCAACCTCTGCCTCCCAGGTTCAAGCAATTCTCCTGCCTCAGCCTCCCAAATAGCTGGGACTACAGGCACATGCTGCCACACCTGGCTAATTTTTTAGTATTTTTCAGTAGAGACAGGGTTTCACCGTGTTGCCCAGGCTGGTCTCGAACTCCTGAGCTCAGGCAATCTGCCTGCCTTGGCCTCCCAAAATGCTGGGATTATAGGTGTGGGAATGAGCATTCTTAATCCTGGAGGTTCTTGGGAACTGTGTGCAAAACTGAGCATAACACACTCAGCAAGTGTTTATTGTTGATGATGGTGATCAACATAATAGGATGATGAACATATTCAAGGAGTTTACATTTTCTGAAAGAGAAAATAAAATATAGGAAATACATGAATGGAGTATAAAATACATTTTCACTTGAGCTTTTCAGGAAATTTTTTACCCTTGCTAGATGGAAAATATTTACATAATATCAATAAGCATTCTTCGACTGCCCAGGAGTTTGGGGGCAGCGTTCCCTTCCAATTTCTCATTGGACTGTATTTCATTTTCAAGTTCAGCTCTTTATTGAATACCTATGACATGCAAGATGCTTATGATAGATTATTTTTAATCCTCACAACAGTTTTGCAAGTTAAGTATTATTATGCACATTTTATAGATGAGTAAACTCTATTTGTTATCTATTGCTGTGTTACAAATTACTACAAAACTTAGTGGCTTAAAACAAAAAACATCTATTACCTCATAGTCAAGACAAGACAAGGCAAGAGATAATGCAATGCTGGCCTCGTCTGGAAGTGGCAAACTCAAGATATATTTTGCAGGTAGTATGAGCAAGACTTTTTGAGAAAGATTAGAAATGGGATGGGTATGAAAGAGAAAGAGATAAAATATAATTCGTAAGTCTGCCCTTAACAACTAGGTGCCATTTACTAAAATGGAGAAGAATGAGATAAAAATAGGTTGGGTGGAGAGAAGGAGAGTTTTATTTTGGACATATTAAGTTTGAAGCACCTGTAAGACACCAAATGGAGACATCAAGGATGAAATAGGCCTTACAGTTGTGGAGTTCAGAGGAGAGACCTCTTCTAGACATCACCCTAGGTGAAATAGTAAAGTAATTAGTGGCTAAGGCTTGAGTCCTCAATCTCAATGCAATTTGATAGTGAGCTAATCTAGATACGGGCAGAAGACTAGCAAGAGACAAGAGAAAGGGCAGGCTGGAAAGTTTCCTCCCAATGTCTAGTTCAGAGCTGGCTCAATTTCTTGTCTTAGGCTTTATTAGTATCATCATCATTATTGTTTGTGGAGGATGGTGCAGGAGGAATGCATCTCTGAGGTGGTGAGAAATTAACAGAATGCATCCAGAGAGAAGAGCACCCAGATTCCAAGAACTGTCCATCTGAGGGCTTCAGAGAGCATCAGGACAAGGTTTACTTTGAAATACAGTGATGGAAATTATTCCCAAGAAGAACAACTATGAGGCCTTGCAGCATAGGAGACGGAATTTATAGAGAGAGCAAAGGAAAGAAAGACTGTCTTTTCCCCCAATTCCATGCTATTGATCTTTGAGCATCTTTCTCCACATAGTGAAAGCCTCCAGCCACTAATACTGTCCCTAGCGAAAAAGCATCCTTTATTCTGAGCAATTCAGGGCAGGATTCATCCTTCTTGTGACTGGAGAGAACAGGGAGACAAGCCTTGCATTTCCCTTTCCTTGAGGTCCTTTGAGTCTGTGGGCTGGCTGAGAATATCCAGCTTGTTCTGGTCAGAGAGGGGCAGTCCAGCCTCGTCTGACCACAAGCCCCCAGGGAAGGGAAGGAAGGAGCAGGCATTTATGACACAGGTCCCTGAGGGCCAGCTCCCAGTGACCACCTGTGTTCTAGAAAACATTTCATTTTCTATCAGCCTAGATCCTGGCTGTGAACTTCTCTAATTCACTATCCCGGCTTGAACTTCATGCAGTTACAATTGCTAAATGCCCTTTCTTAACTACAGTAGCACTCATACTATGACAAAATGAAGACTGCTAAGGCATTTGAGGCTTGGTTGCTTTTAGATTTCAATCAGCTCTAGCTGTCTTTCCTCAGTGGCACTTGAGCTTAGATTTTTTTAAAAAGACACAGTAGAGAATGTGGTTTTTATGTACTACGAAGGAGTAAAATTGCATAAAACTACAAATGCAGTTTCAAGCTTACCCCCTTCCATTCGTTTAAAATGAAGGAGAGGGGGATGTTAATTGAACCCTGTTGATGCTGATTACATCTTCACACATACTAATTTTTTTCTTTTGCAAAGAAATGACTTTCTAAAATTGAAGTACAGCTTCAGTTAAACTAGTAGACTGTGAATTATATTTATAAGCATGGTCAGTGAGGTCAGCATGTTCATCTCACTAAGAATCCAAGAACCAGAGATCCTACAAACATGGCCAGCACGTATCAAAAACTGCTCTGGCTATTAGTTGACAGTGATAAAACCTCTCCAGGCAGGGCTTTTTTTTGTCACCATCTTGCGTCTCACTCCTTCTTTTACCCTGATGAATGTTGTAATTGTATCATTTCATCATCTCTTGACATTTTGCATCTTTTTCCATTCCTGGCCAGTGCACTAATCAAATTCAGCCTTGAAATTGCCCTGCTGTTGGCATAGAGCTCCCACAAACTAGTTGCTTGTATTTTAATTTAGTTTTGAAGTGACTATAGGTGTCTATTTTACTGGTAAAACTATTCAAAAATAATACCGGCTGTTTTTGTCTTGCTAATTCTTTTCTTCAAAGTTTGGTGTGTGTCTTTAAGTTCCCTGAGAGGCCCCTTTGGTTACAGCACTTTTCTCCTAAGAAAGGCAAGATTTAGGCCATCATCATGGTTCAGATTTAAAAAATCTCAATCTGGTCGTGTACTTTGATTTACTTCTTCCGTCTGGACTCACACTCTGTTCTCACCAGATACCCTGAACAGTCTTTCAAATTCATCAACAGCTTTTCCCATTGAGTGGTTCTTTATATAGCCTTTTATGGGACCAGAGCTGTCAATGTTTCTCTGGAATATTTGCTTTGCAAAGATTTTTTCAAAGATTACCTGCTGGATATCCTTGAAGTGGTTTACTGATGAGGGAAAGTAATGGCAGCAGATTGTCCAATCCCCATGGTGTCCTCCATAATCAAAGTTGGCAGTGCAAATACAGGGCCTGTCTGTTTTTCCACTTGTGAGAAACCTTTTACAGACAGGCTGTAAACAGCTTGGGCGGTATTGGCATGACACTGTCTAACTTTTCTGCCTACTCTTTTTAGATTTTCTGCTCGTTACTTTGCTCACGTGTAGTCGTGTGTCTAAATATGTTACCCAAGGCCTTGGAAGATGGTATTTATTCAACTTTTACGTCGTGAGTTTCAAAAATTTAGGTAAAATTTGCATGCAGAGAAATATACATATCTTCGATGTATAATTCAATGAACTTTGACAAATTAAACACCTTAGTCAAGATATAAAACAATTTCATTACCCCAGATAGTTTCCACTATTTTTATCCAATAACTCCCCACACCTCATAAGCTACTCCTGTTTTGATTTTTATCTTCATATTCTTGAACTTTACATAAGTCTAATCAAACAGCATGTAATCTTTTATGTTTGGCTTCCTTTGGTCATGACAGTTTTGAGATTCACTGATATTATTTGGTATACTAGTGGTTTATTCTTTTCTTATTGTTGAGAAGCATTCCTTTGTGTGGATATGCCATAATTGGCATAATGGATAATTATTTATCCATTGTCCTATGATGGACTTTGGGTTGTTTCCAGTTTGGGGCTATTACAAACAAAGTTATTTCAAGTTTTCTTGTGGAAGACTCTTTTGGATTTTTGTTTTAAATTCTATTGGGTAAATAAATAAGAGTGTAATTGTTGGGTTGCAGGGTAAGTATATATTTAACTTTTATAATAAACTGCCAAAGAGTTTTCCAAAGAAATTATAGCATTTATTATTCCTGCCAGCAATGTCTGAGAGGTCCAGTTTGTCCATATTCTCACTAACATTCTGTATCATCTGTCTCACATTTTACCATTTGGAGCAGGTGTGCAGAATGTGATTCTAGTAGATTTTCATTTGCATTTCCCTAATGATGCTGAGAAAATTTTTGTGTACTTTTTCACCATTTGTATATTTTCTTTTGCAAAGTGTCTAAGTCTTTTGCCCATTTTTTTTCTGTTTTTCTTCTTCATTTCTATTTGTAGAAATTATTTGAATATTCTAGATATAAGTACTTTCTCAGACCTATATATGTATTCCCGGTCTGCGGCTTGCCTATTTACTTTCTTAATGGTGTCTTTTGATGAGCTAACGTTTTACATTTTAATGAAGCTTAATTTATCATTTTTTCTTTTATGCTATTGCTTTTCTTCATAATGCCTAAGAAAAATTTGCCTACTACCATGTTATGAAGATATTTATTTGCCTTTATTTATTTATTTATTTATTTTGAGACGGAGTCTTGCTCTGTCACCCAGGCTGGAGTGCAGTGGTGTGATCTCGGCTCACTGCAACCTCTGCCTCCTGGGTTCAAGCGATTCTCCTGCCTCAGCCTCCTGAGTAGCTGGGATTACAAGCACACACCACCATGCCCGGCTAATTTTTGTATTTTTAGTAGAGACGGGGTTTCACCATGTTGGTCAGGCTGGTCTCAAACTCCTGACCTTGTGATCTGCCTGCCTCGGCCTCCCAAAGTACTGGGATTACAGGTGTGAGCCACTGTGGCTGGCTGCCTAAAACTTCTTTTTCAGAAGGTTTATAGATTTAGATTTTATTTTAAAATAAATATAACAAAAACAATAAACAAAAACAAATCAAAAACAAAATTTGAAAACCCCTTAAATTATGTGAACCCACTGAATTCCTTTAAAAATTTTTAATTATTATAGATACATAAAAGTTGTACATGTCTATGGGGCACATGTGATATTTTGATACAAGCATACAATGTGCAATGATCAAATCAGGGTAATTGGGGTATCCATCACCTCAAGCATTTGTCATTTCTTTGTGTTAGGGATGGTTAATGGGTACAAATTACAGTTAGATAGAAGGAATAAGATCTAATGTTCAGTAGCACAATAGGGCAACTATAGTTAATTATTTATTGTATATTTTAAAATAATGAAAAGACTGGAATTAGAATGTTCCTGAGTTCCCTCTTGAATTAATTATTGGTTATGGTGAAAGGTATGATTTGTGTTTTCCATATGCTTTATTCATTTTAAAACACCATTTATTAAAAAAACTTATATCCTCATTGGCACCTTTATAAAGGTAGAATTTACTGTAAATCCGTGGGTCTATTTTTGAAGTCTCTTTACAGTTCCACTAATATATTAGCCTTCCTGTACATCAATACTATACTGTCTTGGTTACTATTACTTTAGAATATATCTTGAAATAAGGCAGTATTAATCCCTTAACTTTGCTCTTTTTCAAATTTGTCTTGGCTATTCTAGGATCTTTGAATTTCTATACACATATTAGAATTGGCTTTCAACTCTCTTTAATTTAAAAAAATAAAAAGCCTGCTAGGATTTTAATTTTAAAAATAAAACATGGGTATTGGATTTTGTCTAATATTTTTCTGCATCTATCTGAGATGATAATATTTTTCCCTCCATTTTGTAAATGCAGCATATTACACTGATTGTTTCAAAGGTTAAACCAACCTTGCATTTTTAGGATTAACCTCACTTATGATTTATTATTCTCTTTATATATTGCTGGAATCAATCAATTTGCTGATAATTAGTTTACCAATATTTCTAAGAGATTTTAACCTGCAATTTTCTTTACTTATAATGTTTCTGTCAGGTTTTGGTATCACAGGTATGCTGGCCTCATTTAAACTAGTTGGAAAATAATCTTTGTTCTAATTTTTGAAAAAATGTGTATCAGAATGGTATTGTTTCTTGCCTGAGGATTTGATATAACTCACTAATGAAAACATTTATGCTGGTGTGTGTGTGTGTGTGTGTGTGTGCATAAAGACATTTGATTAGAAATCTAATTTCTTTAGTAGTTACAAAACATCTAATTTTCAATATCCTGTATTTTAAATTCTAGTTTATTTAGAAGTGTGGCGTGAATTTCCAGATAGTTGGGCCTTTATAGAGATGTTAATGTTATTGATATGCAATTGAATTCTACCCTTATCAGACACCATACTGTATGATTTTAATATGTTTAGTTTATTGAGACTAGTTTTATGGCCCAGGATATGGCCTATGGAGTATCTTGGTGAATATTTCATGTGTACTTAAAAATAATGTTCTTTCTTTTATTTTGGGGTAGGGTGTTTCATGAATGTTAATAAAGTCAAGGCGGTTCACAGTGTTGTTCAAATCTTCTGTAGCCTTGCTGATTTGTATCTACTTGTTCTATCAATTATCGAGAAAAGAGTAGTAAAATTCCTAACAACGTGTGTTTATTTCTCCCTTTAGTTTCATCAGTTTTTGGTTTTGTATTTAGTGTATGCACATTTATAATATTATGTCTTCCTAAGGAGGCAACTCTTATCATTTTGAAATGTCTCTCTTTATTTCTTGTAACATACTTTGTCTTGATGCCTGTTATTAACATACCCACATCATCTTCCTTATTCTTGCTGTTTGTGTTGTATACCTTTTTTGAACTGCATTTTGTTATGGGGTGGCATAACATAGATTCAATGTCTTAAACAACAGAAATTTATTTTCTTCAAAATTCTGGAGGCTGAAAGTCCTAGATCAAGACCTGGCAGAGTTCGTTTTTTGGTAAGGAGGTCTTTTTCTCTGCAGATGGCCTCTTTTTTGCTGTATGCTTACATGGTAGGGGGAGATAGATCTCTGATGTCTTTTTCCCTTTATAAGGATACCAGTTCTATTGAATAAGCGCTCTATCCTTATTACCTCATTTAACCTTAGTTACCTCCTTAAACACTCTCTTTCCAATATAGTCACATGGTGGGGGAGGGGTTAAGGCTTCAACATATGAATTTTGTGGGGCACACAATTCAGTCCATTGCACCAACCTTTTATTTTCAACCTATTTATATCTTTATATGTAAAGCATGTAGTTTGCACGTAACATTTGATTGAGTCTTGATCTTTATGCAGTCTGGCAGACTTTGCTTTTTGAGTGTTTAGTCCAACTATAATAAAATTATTGATATGGCTAGACTTATTTCTACTATGTTTCTAGTTGCTTTCCAATTTTCTAATCTATTTTCTTTTCCATTTTGTTCTACTCCTGAGATTTAGTTTATGTACATAAAAGATTATTTAGTGGTCTATTTTGATTCCTCTTTTGGCTTTCTAAAGATATGACTGTATTTTTTTAGTGATTGCTCTGGAAATTACAATACACATTATTTTTTTCATGTGTTTATTGATTATTTGTATATCTTCTTTTTTTATTATACTTTAAGTTTTAGGGTACATGTGCACAATGTGCAGGTTTGTTACATATGTGTACATGTGTCATGTTGGTGTACTGCACCCGTTAACTCATCATTTAACATTAGGTATGTCTCCTAATGCTATCCCTCCCACCTCCCCCCACCCCACAACAGGCCCCAGTGTGTGATGTTCCCCTTCCTGTGTCCATGTGTTCTCATTGTTCAATTCCCACCTATGAATGAGAACATGTGGTGTTTGGTTTTTTTGTCCTTGCGATAGTTTGCTGAGAATGGTGGTTTCCAGCTTCATCCATGTCCCTACAAAGGACATGAACTCATCATTTTTTATGGCTGCATAGTATTCCATGGTGTATATGTGCCACATTTTCTTAATCCAGTCTATCATTGTTGGACATTTGGCTTGGTTCCAAGTCTTTGCTATTGTGAATAGTGCCGCAATAAACATACGTGTGCATGTGTCTTTATAGCAGCATATTTTGTAATCCTTTGGGTATATACCCAGTAAGGGGATGGCTGGGTCAAATGGTATTTCTAGTTCTAGATCCCTGAGGAATCGCCACACTGTCTTCCACAATGGTTGAACTAGTTTACAGTCCCACCAACAGTGTAGAAGTGTTCCTATTTCTCCACATCCTCTCCAGCACCTGTTGTTTCCTGACTTTTTAATGATCACCATTCTAACTGGTGTGAGATGGTATCTCCTTGTGGTTTTGATTTGCATTTCTCTGATGGCCAGTGATGATGAGCATTTTCTCATGTGTCTTTTGGCTGCATAAATGTCTCCTTTGGAGAAGTGTCTGTTCATATCCTTTGCCCACTTTTTGATGGGGTTGTTTGTGTTTTTCTTGTAAATTTGTTTCAGTTCATTGTAGATTCTGGATATTAGCTCTTTGTCAGATGAGTAGATTGCAAAAATTTTCTCCCATTCTGTAGGTTGCCTGTTCACTCTTGATGGTAGTTTCTTTTGCTGTGCAGAAGCCCTTTAGTTTAATGAGGTCCCATTTGTCAATTTTGGCTTTTGTTGCCATTGCTTTTGGTGTTTTAGACATGAAGTCCTTGCACATGCCTGTGTCCTGAATGGTATTGCCTAGGTTTTCTTCTAGGGTTTTTATGGTTTTAGGTCTAAAATTTAAGTGTTTAATCCATCTTGTATTAATTTTTGTATAAGGTGTAAGGAAGGGATCCAGTTTCAGCTGTCTACATATGGCTAGCCAGTTTTCCCAGCACCATTTATTAAATAGGGAATCCTTTCCCCATTGCTTGTTTTTGTCAGGTTTGTCAAAGATCAGATAGTTGTAGATATGCGGCATTATTTCTGAGTGCTCTGTTCTGTTCCATTGGTCTATATCTGTTTTGGTACCAGTACCATGCTGTTTTGGTTACTGTAGCCTTGTAGTATAGTTTGAAGTCAGGTAGCGTGATGCCTCCAGCTTTATTCTTTTGGCTTAGGATTGACTTGGCAATGTGGGCTCTTTTTTGGTTCCATATGAACTCTAAAGTAGTTTTTTCCAATTCTGTGAAGAAAGTCATTGGTAGCTTGATGGCGATGGCATTAAATCTATAAATTACCTTGGGAGGTATGGCCATTTTCACAATATTGATTCTTCCTACCCATGAGCATGGAATGTTCTTCCATTTGTTTGTATCCTCTTTTGTTTCATTGAGCAGTAGTTTGTAGTTCTCCTTGAAGAGGTCCTTTTCATCCCTTGTAAGTTGGGTTCCTAGGTATTTTATTCTCTTTGAAGCAATTGTGAATGAGAGTTCACTCATGATTTGGCTCTCTGTTTGTCTGTTATTGGTGTATAAAAGAATGCTTGTGATTTTTGCACATTGATTTTGTATCCTGAGACTTTGCTGAAGTTGCTTATCAGCTTAAGGAGATTTTGGGCTGAGACGATGGGGTTTTCTAGATATACAATCATGTCATCTGCAAACAGCAACAATTTGACTTCCTCTTTTCCTATTTGAGTACCTTTTATTTCCTTGTCCTGCCTGATTGCCCTGGCCAGAACTTCCAACACTATGTTAAATAGGAGTGGTGAGGGAGGGCATCCCTGTCTCGTGCCAGTTTTCAAAGGGAATGCTTCCAGTTTTTGCCCATTCAGTATGATATTGGCTGTGGGTTTGTCATAGATAGCTCTTATTATTTTGAGATACGTCCCATCAATACCTAATCTATTGAGAGTTTTTAGCATGAAGGGTTGTTGAATTTTGTCAGAGGCCTTTTCTGCATCTATTGAGATAATCATGTGATTTTTGTCTTTGGTTCTGTTTATATGCTGGATTACATTTATTGATTTGCTTATGTTGAACCAGCCTTGCATCCCAGGGATGAAGCCCACTTGTTCATGGTGGATAAGCTTTTTGATGTGCTGCTGGATTCGGTTTGCCAGTATTTTATTGAGGATTTTTCCACCAATGTTCATCAAGGATATTGGTCTAAAATTCTCTTTTTTTGTTGTGTCTCTGTCAGGCTTTGATATCAGGATGATGCTGACCTCATAAAATGAGTTAGGGAGGATTCCCTCTTTTTCTATTGATTGGAATAGTTTCAGAACGAATGGTACCAGCTCCTCCTTGTACCTCTGGTAGAATTTGGCTGTGAATCCATCTGGTCCTGGACTTTTTTTGGTTGGTAAGCTATTAATTATTGCCTCAATTTCAGAGCCTGTTATAGGTCTATTCAGAGATTCAACTTCTTCCTGGTTTAGTCTTGGGAGGGTGTATGTGTCCAGGAATTTATCCATCTATTCTGGATTTTCTAGTTTATTTGCGTAGAGGTGTTTATGGTATTCTCTGATGGTAGTTTGTATTTCTGTGGGATCAGTGGTGATATCCCCTTTATCAATTTTTATTGCATCTATTTGACTCTTCTCTCTTTTCTTCTTTATTAGTCTTGCTAGTGGTCTATCAATTTTGATCTTTTCAAAAAACTAGCTCCTGGATTCATTGATGTTTTGAAGGGTTTTTTGTGTCTCTATTTCCTTCAGTTCTGCTCTGATCTTAGTTATTTCTTGCCTTCTGCTAGCTTTTGAATGTGTTTCTTTTGCTTCTCTAGTTCTTTTAATTGTGATGTTAGGGTGTCAACTTTAGATCTTTCCTGCTTTCTCTTGTGGGCATTTAGTGCTATAAATTTCCCTCTACACACTGCTTTAAATGTGTCCCAGAGATTCTGGTATGTTGTTTCTTTGTTCTCATTGGTTTCAAAGAACATCTTTATTTGTGCCTTCATTTCGTTATGTACCCTGTAGTCATTCAGGAGCAGGTTGTTCAGTTTCCATGTAGTTGATTGGTTTTGAGTGAGTTTCTTAATCCTGAGTTCTAGTTTTATAGCACTGTGGTCTGAGAGACAGTTTGTTATAATTTCTGTTCTTTTACATTTGCTGAGGAGAGCTTTACTTCCAACTGTGAGGTCAATTTTGGAATAGGTGTGGTGTGGTGCTGAAAAGAATGTATATTCTGTTGATTTGGGGTGGAGAGTTCTGTAGATGTCTACTAGGTCCACTTCGTGCAGAGCTGAGTGCAATTCCTGGATATCCTTGTTAACTTTCTGTCTCGTTGATCTGTCTAACGTTGACAGTGGGGTGTTAACGTCTCCCATTATTATTGTGTGGGAGTCTAAGTCTCTTTGTAGGTCACTCAGGACTTGCTTTATGAATCTGGGTGCTCCTGTGTTGGGTGCATATATTTTTAGGATAGTTAGCTCTTCTTGTTGAATTGATCCCTTTACCATTATGTAATGGCCTTCTTTGTCTCTTTTGATCTTTGTTGGTTTAAAGTCTGTTTTATCAGAGACTAGAATTGCAAGCCCTGCCTTTTTTTGTTTTCCATTTGCTTGGTAGATCTTCCTCCATCCTTTTATTTTGAGCCTATGTGTGTCTCTGCATGTGAGATGGGGTTCCTGAATACAGCACAGTGATGAGTCTTGACTCTTTATCCAATTTGCCAGTCTGTGTCTTTTAATTGGAGCATTTAGCCCATTTACATTTAAGGATAATATTGTTATGCGTGAATTTGATCCTGCCATTATGATGTTAGGTGGTTATTTTGCTCGTTAGTTGATGCAGTTTCTTCCTAGCCTCGATGGTCTTTACAATTTGGCATGTTTTTGCAGTGGCTGGTACCAGTTGTTCCTTTCCATGTTTAGTGCTTCCTTCAGGAGCTCTTGTAAGGCAGGCCTGGTGGTGACAAAATCTCTCAGCATTTGCTTGTCTGTAAAGGATTTTATTTCTCCTTCACTTATGAATCTTAGTTTGGCTGGATATGAAATTCTGGGTTGAAACTTCTTTTTTTTAAGAATGTTGAATATTGGCCCCCACTCTCTTCTGGCTTGTAGAGTTTCTGCCGAGAGATCAGCTGTTAGTCTGATGGGCTTCCCTTTGTGGGTAACCCGACCTTTCTCTCTGGCTGCCCTTAACATTTTTTTCCTTCATTTCAACTTTGGTGAATCTGACTATTGTGTGTCTTGGAGATGCTCTTCTCGAGGAGTATCTTTGTGGCATTCTCTGTATTTCCTGAATTTGAATGTTGCCCTGCCTTTCTAGATTGGGGAAGTTCTCCTGGATAATATCCTGCAGAGTGTTTTCCAACTTGGTTCCATTCTCCCCGTCACTTTCAGGTACACCAATCAGACGTAGATTTGGTCTTTTCACATAGTCCCTTATGTCTTGGAGGCTTCATTCATTTCTTTTTATTCTTTTTTCTCTAAACTTCTCTTCTTGCTTCATTTCATTCATTTAATCTTCCATCATGGATACCCTTTCTTCCAGTTGATCGAATCGGCTACTGAAGCTTGTGCATTCATCACATAGTTCTCGTGGCATGTTTTTCAGCTCCATCAGGTCCTTTAAGGACTTCTCTGCATTGGTTATTCTAGTTAGCCATTCATGTAATTTGTTTTCAAGGTTTTTAACTTCTTTGCCATGGGTTCGAACTTCCTCCTTTAGCTCAGAGTAGTTTGATCTTCTGAAGCCTTCTTCTCTCAGCTTGTCAAAGTCATTCCAGCTTTGTTCCATTGCTGATGAGGAGCTGTGTTCCTTTGGAGGAGGAGAGGCACTCTGATTTTTAGAGTTTCCAGTTTTTCTGCTCTGTTTTTTCCCCATCTTTGTGGTTTTATCTACTTATGGTCTTTGATGATGGTGATGGACAGATGGGGTTTCGGTGTGGATGTCCTTTCTGTTAGTTTTCCTTCTAACAGTCAGGACCCTCAGCTGCAGGTCTGTTGGAGTTTGCTGGAGGTCCACTCCAGACCCTGTTTTCCTGGGTATCAGCAGCGGAGGCTGCAGAACAGTGGGTATTGGTGAACAGCAAATGTTGCTGCCTGATCGCTCCTCTGGAACTTTTGTCTCAGAGGAGTACCCGGCCATGTGAGGTGTCAGTCCACCCCTACTGGGGGGTGCCTCCCAGTTAGGCTACTTGGGGGTCAGGGACCCACCTGAAGAGGCAGTTTGTCAGTTCTCAGATCTCCAGCTGCGTGCTGGGAGAACCACTGCTCTCTTCAAAGCTGTCAGACAGGGACATTTAAGTCTGCAGAGATTTCTGCTGCCTTTTGTTTGGCTATGCCCTTCCCCCAGAGGTGGAGTCTACAGAGGCAGGCAGGCCTCCTTGAGCTGCAGTGGGCTCCACCCAGTTCGAGCTTCCTCGCCCCTTTGTTTACCTACTCAAGCCTTGGCAATGGCAGATGCCCCTCCCCCAGCCTCACTGCCACCTTGCAGTTTGATCTCAGACTGCTGTGCTAGCAATAAGCTAGGCTTCATGGGCATAGGACCCTCCAAGCCATGTGCGGGATATAATCTCCTGGTGTGCCATTTGCTAAGACCATTGGAAAAGCACAGTATTAGGGTGGGAGTGACCCGATTTTCCAGGTGCCATCTGTCACCCCTTTCTTTGACTAGGAATGGGAGTTCCCTGACCCCTTGCACTTCCTGGATGAGGTGATGCCTCGCCCTGCTTCGGCTCACGCTCGCTGTGCTGCACCCACTGTTCTGAATCCTCTGTCCGTCACTCCCCAGTGAGATGAACCCAGTACCTCAGTTGGAAATGCGGAAATCACCCGTCTTCTGCATCGCTCACGCTGGGAGTTGTAAACTGGAGCTGTTCCTATTCGGCCATCTTGGCTCCACCCCCGGCAATATACATTCTTATCACAGTTTTCCTATAGTTAACATTGCGATTTTAATATTCACATAAAATGTAAGAATCTCTCAACAATATAATTTCATTTACTTTTTTCCATCCTTCATGCTCCTGTTGTTATATATGTAACTACAATATTTATTATAATCTCTATAATGAAATGTTATTATTATTACATTTTTTGCTCTAAAAAAGAAGGTCATCAAACTTCCCTTAAGTGCCAGGTAGTAAATATTTTAGGCTTTGATGTCCATATATGTCCTGAATGCATATTATTATTTTTGGTTGTTGTTTTTGATTCATTCTTATATTTTGCTTTTGTAATCCTTTAAAAATTAAAAAAATTCTTAGTATCAGGCCATACAGATACAAGCCAAGAGCTGGATTTGGCCCATGGCCTATAGTGTGTTTGGCACTATTCCAAAAAGCCAGTTGTCTTTTAAAGAAATTATTGTAAGAAAAAATATAGGTTTTTATATCTGACCACATATTTACCATATTTAATTTTCTTTGTTTCTTCCTGCAGATGTGAATTTAGTCTGGCATCATTTCCCTGCAGCCTGAACAACTTCTTTTAACATTTATTATAGTGCAATCTCATGAATTTTCTCTGATTTTAGTTACATAAAAATGTTTTTTAAATTTTATCTCATAAATTCATAAGGCTATATTAATATTATTATCTAAGAATTATGATTTTAATATATTCTTATTAAAGGATGTATTGCTGGATATGTAATTTAGGGTTGGCAGTTTTTTGTTTTCTTTCTTTCTGTCTTAAAGGTACTTTTTTATTGTCTACTGTCATATATTTTTTCCTATAAGAAATCAGTCATAATTATTTACCTTTAAACAAGGTTTCTTTTCTCACTTGTGGCATGCAGAGTACTAAAATTCTTCCTTGCCCCTGAAATTTGCCATATTTATTCTCAGGACTGTGAATATGATGAGATATCATGCCCTGACTTTGTTACATTACAGGGCAAAAGATATTAGTAATCTTGATGATGGTTACTAATCAGTTGACCTTAAGTTAATCAATCTGGGGATTGTCTGGGTAAGCCAAATGTAAACATGTGGAAGAGGAAGTCAGAGAGATTCAGTGTGAGAAGGAGTTGATGTGCCATTGTTGGTATTGACTATGGAAGGGACCACATGAAAAGAAATAGTGGTAATTTCTAGGATCAGAGAGCAGCCTCTGAATGACAGGCCAAAAGGAAACAAGAATCTCAGACATGCAACCACAAGGGACTGGATTCTGCCAAAAACCTGAATAAACTTGGAACAGAATTATTCCCCAAGAACTTCCAGATAAAATCTCAGTTCTGCCAATAACTTGATTTTGACCTCTTGAGACCGTCAGTAGTGAACCCAGCTGAGCCCACCCAGACTTCCAACCTAAAAAACTGTGAGATAATAAATGAGTATTGTTTTTAGGTTCCCATGTTTGTTGTAATTTGTTACATAGCAATAGAAAACTAATACAGTCTATCAAGGCATTTCTCTTTATAATTGGTTTTGAGGAATTGGACTATGATGGCTCAAATGTGGTTTTCTTTTTGAGGCTTCACTAAACATTTTGAATCTGTAGTTTTTGTTTTGTTAAAATTTGTGAAACTGTTAGCCATTATTTTTTTTAATCATTTTTTTTCCACCAGACTCCTCCTCTTCTCTTTGTAGGACTCCAGTTGTATGTATACTAGACTGCTTGATGCTTCACGGATACATAAGGCTTTTTTCTTTGTTCAGGCTTTTTCCTTTGTACTTTTCAGATTTTAATATTTTTATTAGTCTCTTCAAATTTACTAATCATCTCTTCTGCTATCTGTAATCTATTGTTAATCCCATTCAATATTTTTTTTTATTTCAGATATTGTACTTTGTAGTTATAGAATTTCCTTTTGGCTTTTTAACATTCTTTTACATTTATCTGTGGAGATTCCTCATTTGTTCACTCATTGTGTCCATATTTTTCTTTAAATCCTTGGACAAGTTTGTTAAAGATTTTTTCTGCAAATTTTAACTTCTGAGCCATCTTGTAGCCTGTTTGCATTGGCTTTTTCGTTGATTATGCATCTCAATTTTCTCCTTTTTAAGCTGCATAATCTTTTAAAAAATTTATATTGTTTATTGTTAAAGATGCAGATTCTGGATTATTCTGTCTTCTTAAAGAACATTCCATTTTATTCTGGAAGACAGTTAAATTATTGTTAGATTCTTTAGAGCTTCTCAGGCTAGGCTTATTGTTTGTTAAGATGGGATTCTTTAGGTTTTATCCTTAGTTCTTAGTCCTAGAGTATGGCCCTTACTCAAAGGTGTGGTTTTTACTTGTAAGCATGGCTTTTCTGGGATATAAACTGAATGAAGAAAGATCTCAGTATAGTTTACTGTGGTTTGGCTGGAGCACCAGTATCTCTTAGGTTTGCATTATCTGTGCTAACTCTTCTATCCATTATAGCTCTGCTATCCCTGTTCAGCTCTCAGACTCACAGAAGCTACTTTCTATGAGGCCTCAGATTGTCTAGGCTTGTGTATGCACAGCCAAGCCATTGGCCAAAACCCATAGAGATGCCTCACAGGGATTTGGGCCACCCTTTGCATAGCTCCCTACATTCTGGTACCCTGCCCCACACTATGGCACTTCATTATGTCTGAACTCTGATCATTGCTCCACCCTTCTTTCTTTATACTACCCCTCCAGAAATTACTCTCAAGCAAAAATGCCAGAAAATATGGAGCTCAGTTCATGTGGTTTCCTTCTCTAAAGCATTACAGTCTTGGGCTGCCAATTTCATATAGTTTTTCTAGTGATATAGTTACTTTTGGTGGGGAGGCAAGTCTGGTACCAGTTACCACATCATGATTAGAAGCAGAAATTCTAATATTTGTTTCAATGGGATTTTAACCTTCTCAGAACATTGCATTATTTTCCCTATAAACAAAGGAGTATCCAAGATATAGGTCATGGAGTTACACAGCTATTAAACAGCATCTGTAAATAAATATGTATACCAAGAGTTATTGAGTGACCAAATAAATAAAATTTCTCACTCATTTGTCAGGTGTCTTCAGTATGAAGCTACTCTTTTCCCCTCCTTACCATTCTGTACTCTGGAAAGAAATCAGTATATGCAGCCCACACTTAAGGAGTGTGGAGTTATGCTTCACCTTCTTGGGGGTGGTTTATCTACATAAATTATTCAGTCATTCTGCATGGGAAATTTGTCTCTTCTCCTACATTTAATTTTATATTAAATCATTTATTAATATGAATGTAGATTCATGGATATTTAAGTTTGGATTATAATATAATATATTTTATTTTATTGCTCAATTTGCTTCATCTTTGGCCATTAGCAGTTCCTTCAGTTGGCTTCTCTGTTCCATCTGTGTGTGTGTGTGTGTGTGTGTGTGTGTGTGTGATGTTTTTAGTACTTTCTTATTTTCTGACACTAAAAGATGCAATGCTCCAGGCTCAACTTGCTCCAGCTTTGGCCATTGGAACTCTTTCAGTTGGCTCCTGTCTCCCAGCATTGAATGTGTGTGTGTGATGAGTTCTTACTTTCTGACTTCTGACTTCTTACTACAATATGCTCTAGGCTCATCTTATATATTCCCTTCCCTAGTACTACAGTTAGCTATTTCTCAAAGAAGATCTTTTTATTGGAGAATGGTATTAGAAACCAAAATCTGGGCTCTAAGTGTGCTCATTGCTACTGTATTGTTTCCAGACCATCTTACCTGACAGAAAAAGAAAATATACGTGTGTACACTAACACTTGTATAAATGTACATGTATAAATACTTCTATATGCAACCATATGTGTGTATATTAAACTAAAAATGATTTCATATTGATATCTTCAACTCTAATTTATTGCCACATGGATCATTCTCCCTCTTCCCCTTGCCTATCTGTAAATTTCCCCCCACAGTAAGATACCTGGTTCCCACTACCTGCCATTTACATAATTGTTCAATTTCATTGTACATGTATAGCAGTAGTAGAATGGTTAACCCATACTTCCAAGCCAAACAACTTTTTAAACTGGAATATTGTGCTTACATACAGTTTTTCTTGTCTTCAGTTTTATACATTCGTCTTATTTCCAAAGTTATTTTGATCAGCACTTTCTCACCTATTTCCTCCAGAGTGGTTGTTTCATACATTTGTAATAAAGTTAGATGTTCTGTCACATTCTCAGATCACTCCACCTCTTAAATTATTTTTCAATTACATACATTAATTCACTATTTGTGGGGTGAAATTCTATAGTACTTGCCTTGTGCCAAGTACTCACCATTATAGCATCATAATAGTTTCACAGCCCCGCAAAATCCCCTGCGCTTCACCTATTCAGCCTTCCTTCTCTCTCCCTAAATACCTGGTAACCATTGATCTTTCTATAGCCTCCATAATTTTGCCCTTTCCAGGATGTATATAAATAGAATCATATAATATGGAGCCTCTCACTTAGCAACATGTATTTAAAATTCTACATGTTTTATTATATCACCCATTTTTAATGTATGTAGGTATAATAGACCATTGAAACGCAAATTTAGTTTAAAATGTGCCTGAATTTGTTGTGGGTTTTAAAAATATTTGTAATCAGTGAATACTAAAAGTTTAACTACTATCATGTAGTGATCAATATTTTTTTAAATATTTACTTTAAAATAAGGCCTTTATATTTGAAAAGGCTGAAGAACATGGCTATAGTACATCAGCAGCTGTTGTTTCTTTCCCTAGTTAGTTAAGGCCTAATTTATTAACTAGATTTCTGAGGAATTTTCAAATTTAAGATGCAAGCAATCAACTGTAGCAGTTATGACAATATGGGTTTTATGATATTATTTCCTGGTTTTTGTAGATTATCCATTTTTGCATTTTCCACCGGCCCAATACAGTGGAAGTCATATGGCTCTGGATCTAACAGTTCCCAGTTGTGTGGTCTTTAAAGAAGGCAATTACTCATTCTTAGCATCAGTTTTCTCACTAAATAATAACAAAGCAGGTATTATCAGAGCACATAAAAGGTAATGGGAGGGAGTCAGAATAAACTAACAACTGACACACAAAGAACAAATATAGATGAAGAGGTGAGTATCAGCAACAGGTGTGTTTGAGAAAGCTTGAAACAAGGGTGGCAGGAATTCAGAGGATTGGCGCAAATGCAGCTTGTGATTCTCCAACAATCTCTTATATTAGGTTGGTGCAAAAGTGATTGTGGTTTGCTATTCAGTTGGCAAAAACCAAAATTACTTTTGCACCAAACTAATAGTTTGAAGTTCAGTTTTAACTGGATGTTGCTTAAGTATGAAATCCTTCAAAACATTCTTATCTCTATATTGGTGCTCACTACTCAGGAGTTAGTTGATGTTTTTTGTTTGAGAAACACATGATGTAAACAAAGGGACACTGGGCATGTACTCATTTCTTGATTGAGTCCTTGCCTTCCCATATAATTGTTCTGTGGCTTATTCAGTTTCTTTCATGTCATTAATGTTCAATTTTTTCATCAGTGAATTGGGAATAATATCTACTTCATAGGGTATCATAAAGTTAAGAGAGAACTGGGGAAAAGACTTTTGTGAACTCTAAAGAATCTAGCATTTTTATCTACCTGCTTTCCCTCTAGGTAAAGGGGAAGTGGAATGGTTTGAGGAAATAGTATTTGAAAAGGGAGAGTGATAACTACATACAGGCAAATATCCAGGTAAGAGTAACAGATTAAATTATTGAGATATGTGCATGTGGGTGGGTATGTGTGGATTGTGGGTGATGTCTGTAATGAGAATTTATACAATTAGAAAAATCTAGATCATTGATTTAATTTTTACTGTTCAAAATTTTGGCACTGCCCACAGTAGAAGTCAGAGAGATAATTTAGTATCATTCATCAAATTAAAGATGACTATTAATTTATCTCTCAGCCCATCATTTATTAAACCATAACAATTACCACTTATTTTAACCTTTTACCATATATTTCATATTGAAATTCTTTGATATTTCTATAAGACTTCCCAGTTTTATGAATTCCTCCAATCATTTGGAATCTTAAATTAGCTTGTCTCATAGTCTATTAAAAAGAAGATGTGTTCATTGATAATGGTATATGCAGTTGGGATTTAAAATGATTGTAAACAGCTGAAATGCATTTTATTTTGGAAAAAGTTATGAAACTAGTCAGTCCAACACTGTTGATCAGTTTTGATTAAAATAGAAAATAGGATGAGAAATTAAGATGTTCTAAATTATCTTTTTGAAGGATAATAAAATGTTTTGAACAATTATGTCTCAGAGGGTTATCCTGGTAAAGAGTAAAAACACAGGACTTTGAGATAAAGAGATGAGTGCTTCCCTGGTATCTGAGCAAGAAAGGCCCCTGCTGTAGGCCTCCATATTTTGCAAGCTCCAACTCTAACCTTACTCTCTCTATCTATGGTTAGTTGTCTTCAGGGCCAGTGGTGTGTGTCCATCCAGAGGCAGCACCCATCTCACTCACCACTACCACTAGACCATTCTCTGGGTAATGGGTATCTTGAAATACACTTAAGAAATACACTTAAGAGTCATGAATCAGCTTGTTGACCTGGGAAGACCTCTTTCCTGGACCTAGGAGCCCAAAGGGTGGCCAAGAGAGTGAGGGAAGTAGAGAGATGGGACTCAGACATGCCTAGACTGCTAGCTGCATTGTCTACACGTATGTCTGTGAGGCCTAGAGTGGAATGAGTTGGAGCCAGGGGTGGAAAAATATGGTAGGCTGCAGAGCAGAGGCTGGGTACCAGGGGCTGGCTCTCTGCATGCACTTTAAGGAGTCTAAAGACTTGCTTCAAACCTAGCCTTCCACATCATAATGATGTATGTTTGTCAAAGTAGGAGTTGTGAAAATAAGAAAATCAAAATCTAAGCTGTTGGAACTCTAAAATATTTTGAGCCCTAAGGGACTGTGATTATGGAACCCAAGTCATGTAAACAGGCAGCTATAACCTAGACAGCTGTAATCTTTGTTTCTCTAATTACAGATTAGCTTTTTTCCTTACCTACATTGTTGTATAAAATGTCATGACTAAAGGGTGCCAGTCATAAATGACCGAAGGGCGTAAAATGTTGTAGATGATTAAAGGGTCCCCTTCCCTCTTAAATGTTGATCTTCTTTAAAGATTAACTTCTCTCTTTCCTCTCTCACACCAAGATTTCATGACTATCACATTGTTTAGGATGAAATGTTAAATCCCTCTTTAAATTAGAAAGAAAATTAAAATAAGCTGTACAGAAAAGAAAACAAACTGTAGCTAATTAACTTGTTGTAAGTCAAAAACTAGTCTTGTATAGAAAATGTTATAATCCTTCTAAATTTCTTTGTGTTCTGCCTATATAAGCAAGGTCTTAACTTTTTTTTTTTTTTTTTTTTTTTTTTTGAGACAGAGTCTTGCTCTGTTGACCAAGCTGGAATGCAGTGGTTCAATCTTGGCTCACTGCAACCTCCGCCTCCTGGGTTCAGGCGATTCTCCTGCCTCAGCCTCCCGAGTAGCTGGGACTACAGGCATGCACCACCACACCCAGCTAATTTTTTTTTTTTTTTGTATTTTTAGTAGAGATGGGGTTTCACCATGTTGGTCAGGCTGGTTTCGAACTCCTGACCTGAAATGATCTGTCTGCCTCGGCCTCCCAAAGTTCTGGGATTACAGGTATGAGCCACCATGCCCAGCTGGTCTTAATTTTTAACTTTGGAGTACTAACTCCATTTCTCTGCAATTCGTCTTTCCTGGATGGCCATTCCCATCTTTTTGCCTGAATAAATGTTTTAAAACTGGATTCTGACTCTTTCAATTATTTCTGGTTGAAGAAAATGGTGACTCAGATGGCATCCAAAGTAGGCCCTTTCCTTTGACTCCTGTTGCTTCGTTAATCAGCACCTGGTACCTGCAGAACTGTTTCTGTCCAACTGTCTTTCACCAGAGTTTATGGGAGCTCTTGGTGGAGCCCCTCTCTGGTTTTTAATGTCCCTGGCTTAGGTGAGATCCAGACTTCATTCAAGCAACCTGATTCTATGCTCAACAGGGCTGGAATTGAAGCTCTACTGCTTTAAGAAAGGAATTTTGTTTGTTATTTCTCTGGAGATGCTGCTGTTAGCAGGTTTGTGGTTTCAGTTTTCTTTGAGGTTAAGATTTTGTTCACTTTACTTGCTAAAATTTGCAACATTTTCTTTCTTTCAAAACCTGGTTAAAGATAAAGCTGTTTCTCTTTAGTAGGAGGGAATAAATGTCTCTGGCATAAGCAAGAATGAAAGTTTCAAACTAGCCAGGTTTTGAAGCTTGGTTCAACTTGGCATATTTAAATTCTTCTTTTGAGTGACTGAAAATCTATTTAAAAAAAAAACCTTTATGAGAATGTGATAAGTGCCAAAGATGAAAGGACAGTGATTCTCCTGGGCAGAAAACACCTTAGGTGACTAAGGTCTTGTGAGAGTGTCAGAGTTTATAGCTCCTGACAAGCATTGGTCCCCTAGGGAATCCCCGAAGAAGGACATATAGGAAGATACTCCACAAAAAGGGCTAATCTCCCAGTGCTTTTAGTGCCCAGAATTCCTGGGTTTCAACACAACATATAGGAGGGGAGAATCAACCCAAGGGTGACACTTTGGAGAGCTATTCCCAAAAGCGGTACATTTAATGCAAAATATCTTTCCCTTTCAGCTTTGTGGTCACTTAAAAAGAGAATACAAATTACAGGCAATCAGCCATCTAAAGCCAAGTCTTCCTTAACAAGAGATCTGCCTTTGCAAACTCCAGCTAGATTCATATGCAATACTTATGATGTCACCTCTTGTAATTATTTTTTAAAATGGTCTCATATAACCTGTGATGAACCTAAATTACAATAGCCAAGTTGAGGTACCTTTGAAATACCTAAAGTATTAATAACTTACTTGCATGCTTAATTAGAAAAAGCTGGCTCTAAGATAAAACAAAATAATTGTGAGAGTTATTTCCAATGGTATTTGGAAGCATCCAAAGAAGGTTCTAATAAAGTTACTTCTTTGTGGAGGAAAAATGAAAGATTGTTTAAAACAATTTCTGCACTTTAAAAGTTTCTGGAAGCTTCTACTCCTCCCTTAGAAGCTTCCCCTCCCCATCCTCACTTCCCCTTTCTCTTTACCCTTTACCATCTGAATTACTTTACCCTCAACAGCCTTCCTTTCGTCCTCCCCTGCCTCTGCTGTTCTGGCTCAGTTTCATGAACAGCCAATGCCTGGTAGTGGGGCAAGAAGGGACCTGCCTTACTTTATCAACCATGGTCAAAGGTAGAATTTGAAGGCATAGTTAAGGAATTTCCTGACATTCATCAGGATTCTATTGGCTTTGCTAAACAATTTTAACTAAGTATTCAAGCTTATGATCCTGACTATTTGAATTTATATCAACTAGTTCACATGTTAGTTTTAGAAAGTAAGACTAAAGATTGGACAGATAAGGCCCCCTGGAGAAATCTCCTAGAAGATTTCCATAAATGTTCAGAAGAATACCACAGGAGTGCTTGTGAAACTGCAAAGGTTTTGCTTACAGCCCTGCCTTTAGTCTTCTAAAAGGTAGTTGACTGGCATAAAATACAACAATGTTGACAAAATCCAGATGAGTTGGTAATGTCATATTTTGAAAGCTTTGAAAAGGTGTTTACACAATATTCAGGCTTATCTGAGGCAAGTTATGCTAATCGTCAGAATGATTAACTCCTCAATTCTAGCTTTATAAATGAGCTAGATGAAGAATTAGCACTAATAATAAAGAGAAAATGAACTACTTGAGCCATTCCCCTCATTCTGGGGATGTATTGCTGAACTCACATCATACTGAACATTTCTTAGTTAGTAGATTGGTCTCACATAAGGTCCTGCTTCTTTTAGCTCCTCACATCATTATCTCTAGGTGTAACCATCTAACCCCTGCAACTGTGTTGCCTTAATTTTTAGATGAGATGATACATGACTCCATAACCCTAACTGATCAACTTCTTTCTTTCAGGTCAGACCAATGAGAGACCCTCCCCCACCTTACCAATACTGATATTGTTAGGTTTACAGATGGATCTTACTTAAAAGATAAATCTCGAGTCTACAGAGCTGGATACACTATAGTGTCTTTAACTGAAGAGATAGAAAGTACCCATATTCTGAAATCCACCTCAACTCAATAAACAGAATTAATAACATTAATTAGGGCTTATTGATTGGCAAAAGTAATATCCACTAATATTTATACAGACAGTAGGTATGCTTTTGGAATAGCCCATTATTTTTGGAATATTATGGAAACAAAGATGGTTATTAACCTCTTCAGGACAATCCATAAAAAATAGACATCTTATTTCACAACTACTGAAACCCATATTGCCAAAATCACTGGCTTTTACTCAAATTCCAGGTCATTCAAATCAGATACTCCAGAAAGCAGAGGAAAACAGCCAACTGAAAAGATAATAAAGAGAATTGCTCCAAACACATCTAAACAGGAAAACCAACCTATAGTAACTTTTTAAAAAGCACCCAAAGTTGATGTAAAATTAATTTAATACGGTGCCCCAAAGTCAGAACAATAAGTTTGGAAAACAAAAGGGGGAAAATACTCCCCAGAAGGTGAGGTATTAAATGGGCAAAATGACTTGCCCATACTTCCTGCTGAATTACAGTTATCGTTTTTAACTTCTGTACATGATCTAACTCACTGGAGTCTTGACAAAATGGTTGCTTGAAGAAAATAATATTATTGGAAACCTTTTTTGACTACAGCTTGTAAGGCATATAATTGCTGTCATATTTGCCAAAGTATAATCCAAGAAAACCATTACGTGATTCCCAAGAACACTTTTCTTTACCTGAGCTCCCTTTGAAATATGGCAACTAAATTTTATTCAGCTGCCACCGTCACAAGGCTACAAATATGTCCTGGTAATGATTTGCATATTTTCTCATTTGGGTAGAGGTATTTCCATACAGAAAAGCAATAGCATTAGCAGTAAGGAAAATACTTTTAGAAAAAAATTATTCTAAACCTGAGGATTTCCTCTGGGACTTCATAGTGACAGAGACATTGACTTTACTGGAAAAATCATTCAATCAATATGTAGAATCGGGCCTATTTCCCAACATTTTCATTGTGCTTATTAACCCCAGTCATCTGGATTAACAGAATATACAAACAAGATAATTAAAACTCAACTACCAAAATTAACTGAGGCTTTTAAAATTTGGTGGCCAAAAGCTCCTTAAAAGTTTTGCTAAACCTAAGATTCACTCTTCAATAAACACTAGTTATCTCCATTTGAAGTTATAAGAGGTAGACTTAGGGAAATATCTCCTGGAAATTGTGCCTCTTTATTAGTAAAAGGAGATATACTCACGTATTCTAATGGTTTTGTGAAACAATTAACTAAAAAATATGAATTGGTAAAAGAATCTTTTCACAGTAAGCTCGCAGAGACAAAAATCTCAAGAACCAGGGGCTTCAACCTGGACCCTTTGTCTACCGGAAATGACATCTCTTCAAGGACTCTCTCCAACCAAGATAAAATGGACCTTACCAGGTATTCTTTACTAATCCTTGTGCTACTAAACTAGAAGGCATAGACTCCTGGATTCACATCTTTCATCATAGTTGAACCTACTGGGCCGGGCGTGGTGGCTCACACCTGTAATCCCAGCACTTTGGGAGGCCGAGGTGGGCGGATCATGAAGTCAGGAGATCAAGACCATCCTGGCCAACATGGTGAAACCCCATCTCTACTAAAAATACAAAAATTTAGTCAGATGTTGTGGCACGCGCCTGTAGTCCCAGCTACTCGGGAGGCTGAGGCAGGAGAATCGCTTGAACCCCAGAGGCAGAGGTTGCAGTGAGCTGAAATCATGCCACCGCACTCCAGCTTGGGTGACAGAGTGAGACTTTGCCTCAAAAAAAAAAAAAAAGTTGAACCTACTAAATAGACTGTTTTGCCAGATGATCTTCAAGTTAAGATAAGTGACACTGGGACTAGATAAAGATATCAGAGGTGATTAGAAAGCTGACATCAGGGTCAGCTTTCCCAAGGCCCTGAATTAGACCTGTATTTAAAAGAATGCTTAATGGTATCAATTGATAATAGATGGGAAAGGTTCTCTTTTACAAGCTCCCGCTAAACTTCTTTCTTTTCATCCTAGTTGTTATGTCTTGGTACTACCATCACTAGCTGTTTTCCATAAAGCAAACCTCTTTTGTAGTGGGTTCAAGACTATACTAGTAGATTACAAAAGGATGCTTGGTGGGTCTGCAGCCTCATGCCCCTGTCCAGTAATTCTGGCCTTCTATGGTAGGTATCTCCTTTCCAAGGATGAGATTGGATAGAATATCAGAAATATATTTGTGTTTCTCAAAAAGTCATTGGTGCTTAACACTAGTATGGCTAAAGATAATGTACATCACAGGCCTATAAATAATACAGAATAAAGTGCATGGGAAGAGTTTCTCAGTAGAAGATATAGTTTATTAGCTTTAACACTGATGCTTCCCCAGTTGAGAAATAAGATAACTCAATGTCAAGATGGTATAACACAAATTTGGGATGTTTTTATCTGGCTTACCCTCTCCTTTGGTCAGCATAAGTCAACTAACCTCTTAATGTTGGGAAAAAAGAAATCATACCAAAGATACCTGGTCCAATTGCACCAGAGATATAGATCCCCAAAACATGGTGTATCCACACCATTATATTACAAAGTACTGATTGACATGCCACTGAAAGGACACAATGACTATTTACTGATTAGTTCCAAGTGAAACATCTTGGCTGTGTGGCAGTAACCTATGGCCAAGATTACTCTCAGATGGTTTAGAGGATGTTCCTTGGGTTATGCTTGGGCACAAAGTTGACATACACTATAAAAACTTGCAAATTTTCCTCATTTACAATCTTGTTGGGTTCATTCTGTGTTCCATTGCTATGATTTTTAGCTTCCATTTTTGTACCACAACTGGATTTTGATTATGTCATTTGGCATGGAGAGGTCTTAACCAATTATACACAAAACCCTAAATGATGGGCACATGGGTATTTCATTATTAAACAGGGAAGTTATTCTTATGAGAAAGGCTGTATTACAGAACTGTATGGCTTTAGACATAGTCACTGCAGCCCAAGAGGGAACTTGCCTTATCATAAAAACTGAACTTTATGTCTATATCCCAGATAAATCAAATAATACCACTAAATTAATGACTGGTATGAAAACCCAAATAACCAAACTTTCATACCTAAAATCTTCTCTAAACACTCCCTAGGTCGCTAAATTGGATCCTAAGGAAATTGGTGGCAAAATCTGTTACTTATTCTAGGAATTATAATTGCATGTTGTGTTTTGGCCTGTTTGTGTCAACACTGTTGTTACAGCATTTGTTTACAATGGAACCAATGCATGACTGAAAAGACTAAAATAATGGTTTCCCAAAGAATTGCATTCATTGAATATATAGCTGTTTAGCCTCACTCAGGCCACAGAGTTACTTCCTTCATGTTGCTTTAAATTCAGCCTAAAGTCCATCAGCTTCATATCTTGTCCAGTCATCTCTTGCCATGGGACATGATATCCTAGCAATGAGGCTTCCTAGTAAAGTGAGACTCAAATTCTGAACATAAAAGAAGTCAAACCATTGAATTCATCTACGATAGTCTCTTCAAAAGATCTTGATGAATGGGAAAAACTGTGAAAATAAGTAATTTGAACATCAAAACTGTTGGAACTTTAAAATATTTTGAGCCTTAAGGGAATGTGATTATGGGACCTGGGTCATGTAAACTGGCAGCTGTAACCGAGACAGTGACAGTCTTTATTTTTCTGATTACAGATTAGCCTTCTTCCTTACCTACATTATTGTGTAAATGTCATAAATGACTAAAGGGTACCAGGGAAGACCACTTCCCTCTTAAATGTCAATCTTTATTATAGATCAGCTACTCTTTCCTCTCTCACACAAAGACTTCATGACTATCACATTGTTTAGGATGGAATGTTAAATACACTCTTAAATTAGAAAGAAAAAGAAAACAAGCTGTAAAAAAAGGAGAGAAAATAAACTGGACAGAAAAGAAAACAAACTTTAATTATATTGTTGTTAGTCATCGACCAGCCTCGTATAAACTATGTTATATCCTTCTAAGTGTCTTTGTTTTCTGCCTACAGTAGTAAGAACTTAACTTTTTATTATTATTATTATTATTATACTTCAAGTTTTAGGGTACATGTGCACAACGTATAGGTTTGTTACATATGTATACATGTGCCATGTTGGTGTGCTGCACCCATTAACTTGTCATTTAGCATTAGATATATCTCCTAATGCTATCCCTCCCCCCTCCCACCACCCCACAGCAGTCCCTGGTGTGTGATGTTCCCCTTCTTGTGTCCATGTGTTCTCATTGTTCAATTCCCACCTATGAGTGAGAACATGTGGTGTTTGGTTTTTTGTCCTTGCGATAGTTTGCTGAGGATGATAGTTTCCGGCTTCATCCATGTCCCCATAAAGGACATGAACTCATCATTTTTTATGGCTGCATAGTATTCCATGGTGTATATGTGCCACATTTTCTTAATCCTGTCTATCATTGTTGGACATTTGGCTTGGTTCCAAGTCTTTGCTATTGTGAATAGTGCTGCAATAAACATATGTGTGCATGTGTCTTTATAGCAGCATGATTTATAATCCTTTGGGTATATACCCAGTAATGGGATGGATGGGTAAAATGGTATTTCTAGTTCTAGATCCCTGAGGAATTGTCACACTGACTTCCACAATGGTTGAACTAGTTTACAGTCCCACCAACAGTGTAAAAGTGTTCCTATTTCTCCACATCCTCTCCAGCACCTGTTGTTTCCTGACTTTTTAATGATCACCATTCTAACTGGTGTGAGATGGTATCTCATTGTGGTTTTGATTTGCATTTCTCTGATGGCCAGTGATGATGAGCAGAACTTAACTTTTTAACTTTGGAGCACTGACCCCATTTCTGTGGAGTCCATGCTTCCCAAATCGCTATTCCCAGCTTTTCGCTTGAATTAAATTCTTTAAAACTAGATTCCGATCCTTTCGATGATTTCAGGTTGACAAAGTACAGAACATATTTTATTTAACAGTTTGTTAGTTTGATTGATAACTTTTAAGTATTTAGACATATGGTATGTGAGTTTCCATATGTATTCTTGCCTTGAGTCTAGAATATATTAGGGATAACCTGGAAGTGACCCAAGCTTTAGTTCTGGCCCTTCCACCAACCAGCCCATAAACTTGGAAAAATGACTTGAAATCCTCAGGTTCTAACTTTTTATGTTTGTAGAATAAAGTGGCTGATGTAGTTTCAATGCTATTTCTGTCACTTTGAGCACATTGCCTAAAATTCCCGGTCTTAGTCTTAAATCTATGAAATTTAAGGTTTAGATTAGGTGACTATTTGATAGGCTGTTTTAGTTCTATTCTATGAAGACTTATTTTTTTATTAGACTAGTCGCAGACACTTGGTGAGAAGAAGGAAACATATTATTAGAGTAATGGCTAAGGTTAATAAAAGTTAACCTGCTTTGAATTGAGTTCCTTCTTTCCTGCAGTACCCTCTTTGCGGGTTCATAGACATCTGATAGCTCAGTTTTGTTCTAACTTAAGTTAAAATTATGACTGAAAAATGTGGTTGAAGGTTAAAAATCAATTAAATGGTAATTACAGTTATTTGTTTTAAAAGTTCAGGTAATATTTTATACCATGAATCTGTTGGATGACAGTTGATATGGATTAATCAGCAACCTGCTTTCTCTTTGATCATGATTCACATCTGCTCTGGACAGGAGTGACAATAAGGAAATAATTATGAGCCATTCCCTTGGAGTGGTGCACTTGGAGCCGTTTGGATAAAATCCTCTCTCAGTGCATAGTGGAGCTCTTGTTGTTGTTATGCAGGAAAATCAGATTAATTGTCCCAGTTCATTTCCTAGAGCACAGAGGGCAGCTCCTAGTCAGTCACATCAATTCTTCTTTGCCCTTTGCTATATGTCGATTGCCCATGAGGCAAAGGTTGATACGTTACCTTTTGTTTTACAAGGCATGGGGATAGCCAGTGATGTTTCTTGGTCTATGAGTTGCGCTGGAAACTGTTCTTCTGAACACAGTAGATAGAGAGCCTAAAGAAAAACTCACTCACTGGGCAGTACTGTTTTCTGAAACTGCGTGTTTTTCAGCTATTGATAGCAACTTCAAATTTTCTCTATACCATTTATTTCACCTTTAAAGCGAGGATTTACTTCTACTTCACGGAAAAATTGTGATGCATAAGCATGATTAACAGCAACATTTTCCTTAGTATTACCACTTACATAAAAGCTATCAGATGAGACTGCTTGTCTCTAATGAAGAGGTTGCCCTCCCCCTCCCATTTTGGACCTCAAAACCAGATAGAAAACATCATTCAAAAAATTAGACATTTGATTAATAAATATTGGTAACTAGAATGTCACAGTAAATAAATTCTATGTGACTTCTTTGTAACATCTATAATTCTGATTTAAAAGAAGGGAAAACAATTACAATGATATATGTTACTCAAGGTCAATCCTTAAAATATTACTTTATCACAACGCCAGAAGCAAAGAATTATAACTTTAATTGTACCAGTAGAGAAAATGCCCACACATCCATATTTAAAAACTAATGAGAACGTTGTTCACCTCATTGCTTGGCCAGAGCTTTAGTGGGGGATGGGAGTAGACTTGAATTAAATAGAGTGTTCATTTGAAGGTAAATTGAGAGATTTTTCAGCCTACTCAAGTTTAATTAAAAATAAATGTGGAAAATTGTTTTAAAAGATTGTACACAGTGATTATCTCAAATTGCCATGGGAAATACAGAAATGCCTCATTAAAAAACACATTTAGACATTTTTTAAATATATAAACTCCATCATTTATATTCTAGTTTAGAAAAACCTCCTCACTTCTAAAAAAAAATACAAGCCAAAATATGTCATCATCATTTTTATGTATCCCAGAATATTATGTGTATGTGTTAAGATGATTTTGGTGCACAACATCACAAAAATCATTTTAAAGGGAAACTGCAGTGCTTTTGCAAAAATAAAACAAGATCACAGAACAAATAAAGGATTACTGAATTATCTATAGAAGTGAAACCAGCAATAAAATGGAGTCAAACCTGGGAAACTTCCAAAAATTAGGCTGGGTAAGAGGCATGACGCTGCTCAACTCTGTAATTTCTTGGCATCAGGCAGAGGTTATATTCCATCTTAGAGTCCTAAACTGTGTTTATGTGATACTTAGGTAACTTGATTTTTTTTAACTTCAGTGATATTTGATTGAAAAAGACAAATTTTGCTGATATTTCTGTCATTCAGTTGAATAATAGTTTTGTGTTGTACAACCATATCACAAAATGACACAAATTCAGACTTTTCTTAAAAGTCATAAAGAAATGCCTAGTTACCTTCTGCTTTTTCCTTTCTGATCCTGAAGAGACATGAGCGCCTCCTGTTTGTTGCTGATGGTTAAAGATGTAAGCAAAGGGTTATGGAGTGAGCATCATGTGGAAAAGATAAAAAAATTCTATCAATATTTTAAGACCTGGAGTAATTTGGTCAACATTTTCAAAAATGTAAACGTATTCTGTGGGTTTAGAAAGAAAAGATATCGATATTATTAATGTTGTTAATATCTTTAGAACCAAGCATGAATAATCATCAGTGCAGAGAAAATACAGGTACTATACAACCAAATTATTATTAATAATTATATTGCTTCTTTTTAGTTGTGTTTTTGGTGATGGTTATGTTTTATGAGCCAGACATTTTACCTATGACATATTTCCTTCTTGAAATTCTCAAAATTGTCACAGTATATGATGAATATAATATGCATACACATGTGCTATGATTTTAATGTTTGCCCTCTCCAAAACGCCCATTGAAATTAAGTGCCATTCTGATGGTATTAAAAGGTGGGAGCTTTAAGAGGTGATTAGACAAAGAGAGCTTTACTCTTATGGGTGGTTTAATGCTTTTAAAAAGAGGCTTTCAGGGCACGATGGCTCACGCCTGTAATCCCAGCACTTTGGGAGGCTGAGGCAGGGAGAGCACCTGAGGTCGGGAGTTCAAGACCAATCTGACCAACATGGAGAAACCCCATCTCTACTAAAAATACAAAAAATTAGCTGGGTGTTGTGGCACATGTCTGTAATCCCAGCTACTCAGGAGGCTGAGGCAGGAGAATCGCTTGTACCCAGGAGGGGAAGGTTGCAGTGATCCGAGATCGCGCCACTGCACAACCTGGGCAACAAAAGTGAAACTCAGTCTCCAGAAAAAAAGGAGGCTTTCAGGAGTGGGCTCTCTCTTTTTGCCATTCCACTCTTGCCTTGTGAGGAGCAGTGTTTCTGTCCTCTGGAAGATGCAGCGTTCAAAGTGCCATCTTGGAAGTGGGCATTGGATCCTCACCAGACACCAAATCCGTCAGTGCCTTGATCTCGGACTTCCTAGCCTCCAGAACAGTGAGAAATCAATTTCCATTCTTTATAAATTTCCTAGTCTCAAGTACTCTATTATAGCAGCACAAAACAGATTAAAGCATGAAACCGAGAAGTATTAATCACTAAAAAGAGACTTTCTTCTTGGGTAGAACTATGTGTAGACAATTTGATCACTAGCATGGCATTTACAAGCAATTATTCTCTTCTGTATCATTATGTGTTAAGGTTTAGTGCAACTCCAAAGCAGTAGAAAATTTTGGAAACTAGCAAAATATATTATTTCATTTTTGATCCTGGGAATTCTATGGTAGGGGTTATATTGGTCCTGGAGTATTATTTGTGTAGCCAACTTAGACTCCTCAGGCAAGTTGTCTGCTCCGTGAAGTTTACCTGAGGCAAATTTTGCTTTCAAGTATTTATAGATAGTTAGCACCTGCCAGTCCTAGTTAACTACTTGGCTAACATCTTATAGTGCTTCAGTGAACTCAAGACTTTCTAAAGGCTAAAGCCTAAAAGGTAGAATTGAAATTGAAGTATCTCCTTATGTTATCTATGGTGGAGAATGTTTTAGCACAGTAAGATTTGCTGTGATTGGGGTGTTACTTTGAGCTAAAGTGACAACTGCTGGGCCCAGTATATCATATTTGGAGGCAGAGCTGGAGGATGGACAAAAGAGAAGTGACTGTGAATCATCAGGAATGCATTCCCCTCTCCAAACATGTGGCTTTCTCCTTCAACCAAATCATCTACAAAATATGCATTCACTAAAAAGAATAAAAGGAAAAGGAAATATTTTTTAAAATATTTAAAAGGCATAAGAAAACTAGCCAAAGAAGATCTGAATAAATACCCACTTATCAGGAGTTTTTAATTGGGGAATATCCAAACCATCAGACAGCAAGGGCCTCTTTGCACATCCCAGCTCTTCCTGAATCAATGATTCATGGTACACTATGGGCTGACTTTGGAAAACATTAAAAATAAAATCTGACAATACCAGGTGCTGATGAGGATGTGAATCAACTGATTTCTCATACACTATTGGCAGGATTGCAAAGAGGTAGAACCACATTGGATAGTAGTATACAAAAGAAAATATAATGAAAGCATTTTACATGTCTTACTATGTATACGTTAATAATAAAGTGAACTTGAAGATGGATTTGAGCAAGAATTGTGAGATAATCATGTGTGTGGGAGATGAGCAGAAAGTCTTTAAGAGAGCGAAATCTTCATCTTTTATATGATGAAGAAAAGTTACAGACATTCTCGGAAAATTGAAAAATAAAAATAAGAGTATATAAGCATGTTATTCAGAAATATGAAGGAAAATAGAAAAGCTGAATGTGGCTTTTTCCAGAAACTAGGGATGAAGCTTTGGAAGATTTGGGGGCAGGGAACTGATGTTTTTTAACTCGAAGACTTGCAGGATTGTTTGACTTTCGGAGTTATGTGCATGTGTAATTTTGATAATAGTAAAAATAATGATTTTAAGGGAAGCAAAGTTGTGAATTAATATGATTGAATTCTAAAGCCTTCCACTAGAATATTGGTTCTCCAGTAAAAAGGATCATGATGTTTTCTAAGTTTCAATTAGAAAGATTAAAGAAACATAAAAGTAAATAAGCAGCTAAAGAAATAATACGGAGTGAAACCAGGAGGCCAGTCTAGGAAATCTTCAGTAACAAAATGACTGCATCACTTAGCAGTTCATTTGGCTCAGGATTTGCTCTCAGGATCCTGGTGAAAGGGATCAGGGGCCTTTTCCCCTTCATCAGGAAGCAGAGAGAACTGTCACACTGTGTGACCTTCTCAGAGTTCAGAATAGTGAAGCAGACATTTGGGCACATTTTGTGGGTAGAAATACCCTTCTTCAGGGCATGTGTGATGGAACAAAATCCCAAGGAAAGCTCAAAGGTTCTTTTAACAGAATTGGCAGACATGAACAAACACAGCAAATATGGAGCACTTCATTTTATAAAGTAATGGTTAGTCACTTCTCAGAAGTCTCTAATGAAACCTTGATGAGAGGCTATTGCGTTCTGTGGCTGACAAATATGGAGACAGAAAAAAGTACATGGGAAGAAGAACATTTTTTACCCATTGGATGCTGCATATATCCATGCCTTAGGACTAAGCACAATCAAAGACTCCCAAAGGAATACAAAATGGAAAGCTGGAGAACCTCCAGAATCTGAGAAAAGGATAGAGGAGTCACAGGAGAGAAGAGAAGGGGAAGAGGAGAGCAGATGGAAGGAGATAATGATTTAGACCTGCAACAGGTCTCTTGAGGTCCTTGAGAAAGTTTTGGGAAGTATCTAAAAATAACGTGCAGTTCTTTTTGGATAATATCAGACAGTACCTGAGGGAGCTAGGAGGCAGCAGAAATGGGATTTGTGTGATGTTGCTTCCAGAGGCTGCTACCTTAGGAAGAATTGACTAATATCTATGAATGATTCTTTGTGAAACACACACATCACCTTGCGTTTGGAATGTTAGAGAAGACAACTCATTCTTCCATGCCAGGCTTGGGCTTTAAATAAGACAATTCTGCTTTGTTCTGCAATAAAATAAGCCTCTAATGACTTTGAGATGACAAAATAATATATGACAATGCTTCGCTGAATGAATGGCAACATGGGAAAAAGAGAAAACAAATGACTCCTAACACTTCTGCCTCCCAGCAGGTCCTTATTTCTCCCACCTCTTTCCTCCTTCTAGCATTAGAGCTGTTTCTAAAAAAGGCAATATTAATCCCTGCTTTGAAACCCTTGATTTTACAACTAAATGGAAACTCCATAGCAATGCAGTACTGCCTCATTCCCCCTTCCCAGCATTGTATCAATTTCCCCCACAGCTTGCATTCTAGATGTTCTTAACTTGGCATCATGGGACCAGCCCACTTTCCATGTAAGATATCATTTGTACTTTTGTTTTAAAGCCAAGTTCAATACCACCTCTTTTCTGGTGCTTTTCTTTACTTCCTCAGGCAGAGTTCATTACTTTTGGTGCAATGTCCCTGTAGATGACTTAATACCATTACATGTATATAATTGCATTGTGATTATCTATTTATGCATATATTTCTCCCACTAATTTGAGTTCCTCAAAGATAGAAAACATATTTGATTTATTAATTTTTTGGTCCCCAGTATATTCCACAGTCCCTGACGGCAGCAAGATGGCTCATATAAGTTTGCTGAAGTTATTAATGAATGCATGAGAAATGGAGATTTTTCACATCAAAGGATAAGAAGGATGCTACAAGGTATTCTAAGTGCTTGACTGTAAATCATAGTCAATCTGGAAAAAGTTCTCATTTTGTTCTGCTGCTTTTAGTCCCAATTCATTAGATATTTGTCTTTGTGTCTGTCCCAGTCATTCTTGTGGCTGAATGTCCTTTGTTTCTACTACAACCATATTGTGTTTGATGGGTAACAGGCAAACATTTCCAACTGTGCTTTTCAGAGAGGGATAAGGAAGCCCAGTCCTGAAGAACAGAACAAAATAAGGGAGAGTGGGAGAAGATAGAATTAAACCAAATACAAAGAAAATTGCCATTGTGAGCATTTTATATTAACCTTTTAAAATGATGGATTATCCATTCTGAGCACAAATATATCAATCAGGGGAAATTATAGAGGCAAGGGATATGACAGCAGCTGTGTGGTTTGCGTAATGATTCTGGACTCCCAACATTTCTCAGCTTGGTAGTACAGAGGATGAGGACTAGGAATTATGTGTGGTTGTGAGAAGCATACAAATGTCTCACATACCAAGGAAAAAGAAAGAACCTAAAGATGAAGTCTTCAAAAAGTTGCTGGTAAAATGGCTTCTTCCGGATTACTGAAAGAGTTATTTACACTACATCATGACATTTCAATATCTGAGGCATTCCAAATTTGGGACTTTATTATCCCATTATTCAAAAAATACACAAATTAGCTATTCTTTGTTCTTAGACAAAGAATATATACATATATGTTATATATGTACGTATGTATATATGTATACATTTATTGAATACACATGCTAATATTTAAGGTGTGACAAAGCACTGCAATTGAACACCAAAGAGAACTGAGAACTGACTATTGTTAAATGCTTAGAAAACCTTCTGTCTACAATTACATACCCTCATTTCCATCTAGCACAATGCTTGGTGTGTATCTGGTTTTCCACAAATGTTGAAATTAATCTGTGGTATTTAGACAGAGGAGTAAGCATAAAAAATAAGCTCCTAAATTCATATCTGCTGTTTTGAGACCTCCAAATTTGTTTTTCCACCTTTTTAAAAAACAAACTTGGAATATGTTTGGTAAGAAAATCTGCAATTAAAAAGTAATGCAGAACTTGCAGTTAAGTCCCAGGCTGATGACAAGGGCGGGCCGCAGGTGAGACCATCAAAGGAGCTGGAAGGCAGTGTGATCACACCCATGAGGCAGTACTTTATATTTTGGTTAATCTTCAAGTGTAATAGCAGGAAAATCTCAAAGAACAGAGAGATAAATAAAGCAAGAATTGTTTTTCTCCCTTAGTAGTTAACTATTGGTAATATGCACACAATATATAGTTGCATTCTGATCTAAGTGATTATTAGTCATTCATTCCATGGGCAATTTCTGAGCATCTTTTAGCCAGGACTTGCTGCTCTAGATGCATGGAATACATCAGCAAATAAAACAAATATCTATGCCTTCAAAGAACTTACAATGTCATGGAAAATATAATTTCTAGAGAGTTAGATCTTTGCAATACCCAGAATATTAAAAAATGCTCTTTTAAAAAAATTACATTGTATTCCCCCCTTCTCAATTACCAGTCCACCTATTTTTTTGAAGTTAAAAGCTCAAAAATGCCAGAGACCACATGAAATGTACATTTATCGTTAAGTTAAAATATGTATTTTTTAATTTTAAACATGACAGTAACCTCTCCCATCAAAGGGTGCAATCTTCTGCTAAACCTGTATTTCTGTCAGATCCCAATCACTCTTTAAGGTGGGAGAACAACTGTAATAATTTACTTATATTTTTGTATTGAGAAAATTGCCTGTTCAGGAAGAATTTTCTTTACTCTTATTGGTCACAGAGCATAGGACCATTACAAGCTTACTCCTCTTCTAGAGAGACAAAAATTCGATGAACTATTATTTGTGGTTAATACTGTATTAACTTGTTCAAGGACGAAAAAATGAAAACATCACAGCATAGAAAAATAAACGACTGTCCATTGTAATGTCACTACGCAAAGGCTAGATATTTGGCTGAGACATGTGGCTTGTCATACAAAAGCTTTGCATTGATTAATTAGTGGAGATAATATAGAACAAACAGCCTTTAAATATTTGACTTTTTTTAAACACTCATCACTGAAAACCTTTTAAGGTCAGGAAGTCTAGGATTATTTTCATGGGTCTTTCTCCATAAAATTTTAGCACTCAAGAGTTTGTGCAGGCAGAGTATATATAGGTTTCAGAATAGATCCTTATTGTAGAGTTTTGAAAATATTAGCAACAACTACTATTGATTAAAAGCTGATTAGATAGCATGAGTGAGCTTGGAACTATGTGCCAGTTACTTCATTTAATACTCCCCACAACTTTATGAGGTGGATTTTTTTTTTTTTTTTTTTTTGAGACAGAGTCCCGCTCTGTTGCCCAGGCTGGAGTGCTTTCAGTGGCGCGATCTCGACTCACTGCAAGCTCCACCTCCTGGGCTCACGCCATTCACCTGCCTCAGCCTCCCGAGTAGCTGGGACTACAGGCGCCCGCCACTACGCCCGGCTGATTTTTTGTATTTTTAGTAGAGCCGTGGTTTCACCCTGTTAGCCAGGATGGTCTCGATCTCCTGACCTCGTGATCCGGCCTGCCTCGGCCTCCCAAAGTGCTGGGATTACAGAGGTGGATCTTGATAGATACATTTTATGAATTAGGGATTCAAGACTCAGAGATTATGTGAGTACCAAGACATGATTCAAACCTCAGTCTAACTCCAGATTTCATGCATTTGCCACCAAAAAGCTGATTGTCAAGCCAAGAGCGTACATAAATTTTTAAGGGACTGGAAGACTTACTAGGGTTTCAAGTATTTTCAATATATTTTATATGTGTGTGTATGTATGTATGTGTGTGAATGTATATATATATATCTCCTGTGTTAACATATATATTTGTGTAAACAAATATGTGTATGTATATCCTGTGTTAACAAATACATATATATGTATATATATCCTGTGTTAACACAGGAAAGCAAATATAACATACATTCAGTATATTCTGTGTAAAAGACTATATTGTGGCCAGCAGATCATAAATAAGAGTACAAAAATATAAATTCATATGAACGCTTAATAAAGTATTTTGTGAAATAAATTCATTTCAGAGCAAAGAAAGCTAAACTGCTCTAAAGTTGAACCCATTTGTTGGGCCCAGTGGCTCACACCTGTAATTCCAGCACTTTGGGAGGCCCAGGCAGGCAGATCACTTGAGGCCAGGAGTTCGAGACCACCCTGACCAACATGGTGAAACCCATCTCTACTAAAAATACAAAAAAAATTAGCCAGGTGGGGTGGTGAGTGCCTGTAATTCCAGTTACTCGGGAGGCTGAGGCACGAGAATCACTTGAAACTGGGAGGTGGAGGTTGCAGTGAGCCAAGATGGTGCCACTGCACTCCAGCCTGGGCAACAGAGTGAGACTCTGTCTCAAAAAATTACAGCAACGACAAAAAAACCCGAAGTTGAACCCATTAACATATTATACCTTTAAAACTAATATTGTTTGGCTTTATAGTGTGCATACAATAAATGGAAGGTAGAGGGTTTGGCAAAAAAGATATGAACAGGCATGCATTTCTGGGCTACATGATTTTGTGCTTGATGGTTTAGGTTTCTACTGTATATTTCCTTTAAAGAAAATCTTATTTTCTAACATAAAACCTCAGCAGGCCTGCACTTAGCTAACAAGGGGAAAACTCTGTCCCAGTTTTCCATAATACATTCACGAAGGGATTTGAAACAACCAACAGTTATTGCAGAGAAAAATGAAAGAATGTTGTTTGCTGGCATTTTTTAAAATAAACACAAAAGTTCAAGCACTATAGCTATTAAGCTCTTTGTAGGCAACATAAACACTGGCTTATTTCTGACCCCCTATAATCCTAAAATCAAGCCCAGCCTTCATTTTCTGTTGTAATTTTTCCTGCAGTACCCCAGACACCAGGAGCTCATGAGTCAGGATCACCAGCCTTGAGTCTCAGCTAGATTCCTGCAGTAGCAATATTGGGGCTAAGGCTTCATTTTATCTCTCTTGGTTGAGAAATATTATATAATATCTACCTTCTTTTCTACTCTGCTTAGTCTAAAGAGAGGTCCTTTTCTTTGGGGGAAAAAGTGTCATTTCTTCTTAGGTTCTTTTTTTCTCAGAAAAGGAAAGAGCATATCAGGGGAGGATGTGGTTGACATATTTGTCTTCCATGTGAACAAGGGGAAGGAAATACTTTTCAAGTCATAGTTTTATTTATCCAAGGTCTCCTGGGATATTATAACAGAGCATGTGATCATTGTGCTCAAAGGAACCTCAAGGGAGCCATCTACTCCCTGCCTCTCAACAGGCTACTTATAAACCACCGCACAGAAAGGTGCAAATGGAGCTGTATAATGGTTCTGGGGATGAAGTTTTCACTTCTCTTGGTCCTCCTCGGTCAAGATATTTGCCTTGTTTTGCCTGAAATCCTTCCTGCCATCATCAAATAACTTAAAATAAAAATCTGCTCTCAATAGAGAGACGAAAACAACCAACCTCTATCATCTGAGTAATATCCTCTCTGGTTATTTTTAAATACTATAATAGCACAATGAACCTGAGGCACCAGGAAGAGGCAATTTCCTAAATGGATATGGAAGCCTTGAAGAGGATGATGTATTGGCGAATGTTACTCTACTAGGTCCATTTACGCAGTTACAACAGGCCCCATAATCACGAGTGACCAGTGCAAACTCACAGCTGAACACAAGGCCAGAGAGGCTTTACTCCCACCTAAGGTCTTGAGCCAACAATGAAGGCGCACAACAGATGCTCAGTACTAACAAAGGCTATCAACCCCAGTGATACTGAGGCTCATTTATAGAGAGATAGATATTGGTAGGGCGGGTGGGAAGGAAGGCAAAGCTAACCTGAAACATCTATGAGCAAACATCATGAGGCAAGGGTTATTTTTTATGTTTTGAGTTTTACTTGTGGGTGCTTAATACCTATTAAATAAGTAATGATAATTAATACTTACCTACACCACAGTGGTGATTTGCACCTTAATTGAGTGATTTGCACCTTTGTAGAGCTCTATAGATGAAAGCTGAAGTGCATAGGACATGCAAAGCACTTTTTTTGAAATATAATTTTAATTAGTTAAAATTTAAGATTTAGTTTCTCTTGATAAGAATAATTTTAGGAGTGTGGCTAAAGCACTTAATCTTTAATCTGGACCTTAGTTTTTCCATATGTAATGCAAGAAGGTTGAAATAGATGATCTCTAAGGTCCCTTTTAGCTCTAACATTCTGTGATTCTAATTAACTGTACAGATGGAGACTGATAGAATTTTGGATCTGGAAGAGATTCTAGAGTGGATTATATAAAATTGTTCTTCTGACAATCACGGAGGCATTTAAAAAATGATTTCATTTATTGAATGTTTATTATGTGCCAGGCATGATAAAAACCACCTTCAAATATTCTCTCATATGCATCTCTGTAAAGTTCTGTGAGGTAGGCACAGGAAACTGAGGCTCAGGAAAACTAAGTAAGTTGCATAAGAACAGACAGAAAATGACAGAACAGAAGCTCAAACCCAGTTCTCTCTGACTCCAAAATCTATGCTCTGTACCATGATTAAGCTGTCTTTGGCATGGCTTCTCCATAATCTCTGTGCCTGGGGAAACTCTAAACTTGCCCTAACACACCACCTAGTCACCTCAGGCCTTTCCTGCTTTCCCTCAGCTCAGAGCCAGGATTCTTTTCTTTTCAGAGAACCTACGCTCTTATAAGTGAGAAAGGAGAGCCTTATTTTTTCTTAGTGTTTATGCACCAATATCTGTGCAGGCAGAATAAGACAAGTGACTAGTTGTAACACGATAGATTTTTCTTTGGAGCTTTAGCTGGGTTAACATGGTATTCTAAATTCCTGCTTCCTTGCAGGAGCCCAGTAGCTTTACATAAGCCACTGAGGTGTAGGGCATTCTCCTTCACTGTGGACTGACTAGCAAGGATCTCTCCAACAGGCACTTGCCTCTCTTTCTCTCCTCCTCCCTTTGTTCCTTTGCCCACTATGTAAGCAATTAGTACAATTGAATCCTTAATAAGCCAATTTAGTCCAGCCCACGTAGCTATTTTGCTCCTAATAAATCAATTAATTCAGCTCACATTGAGGGGACTGTCATGTTTACAATATCACAGTCAGCGTCTATATATTTGTGCAAGAAATAAGATGGTAAGGAGTATTTTTAGAATAAAATTTCATTTTTCTCTTTGTGGTGGAGGGGCTGTGTGTTGTGCTGTTGATGCTTCTGCTGCTAGGACTTCTTTGTCTTAACCAAAGGCTTGAGAAAATGACATAGCAGACATTTATGAGACGTGTTTCATGGAGTTGGAGTGAACATGCAAAAAAGTCCATAGAGCTTTGTTTATATTGGGTGCCAGAGATTTGAACAAGGATGGAACAACCCTTTTGTGGTAGCAGCTCTCAGTGCTTTCTCCACAATCCTATAGGGCTAGGTGGATCCCATTAAAGGTCCTAATAGCTAAAACTTATCTTCAAATTACCTTTAGTTGGTAGGAATTATGACTACATACTCAGTCTTTTGATTTCTCCAACCATGTTAGCAAGGTGAAGTTTCATCTTACTAAGTTAAGATTTGAAAGCTTTGGTGTCAAATATTCCCTTGGCACTACCCTATAATGAAGAAGGTTTAGGAGTCACACATACAAAGTGGACTTAAAGAGTTTCCTTGATAAGTAGCACTAATGGATCAATAGTGGGGTGTGGTTGCTGACACAGCCCATTGGTCAAATACCTAGAGTGAAAGGCTTAAGGCATACATTTCTCTGCATTTTCTAGATAATTAGGCTCAGTACAGGGAGCCCAGAGACTCCTATTTTAAGGAAAATAATGTTAAACCTTAGTGTATTCTGGGGAGAGTATCAAAATGGTGGATGAAGCCAGGTGCAGTGGCACATGCCTATAATCCCAGTGCTTTGGGAGGCCAAGGTGGAAGGGTTGCTTGAGGCCATGAGTTCGAGATGATCTGGGCAGCAAAGTGAGACCCCCTTCTCTGCAAACTTTTTAAAAAAATTTAGCCAGGAGGCCGGGCACCGTGGCTTACGCCTGTAATCCCAGCACTTTGGGAGGCCAAGGCAGGTGGATCACGAAGTCAGGAGGTTGAGAACATCCTGGCCAACATGGTGAAACCCCATCTCTACTAAAAATACAAAAATTAGCTGGGCGTGGTGGTGTGCACCTGTAGTCCTAGCTACTCTGGGGGCTGAGGCAGGAGAATGGCTTGAACCCAGGAGGCAGAGGTTGCAGTGAGCCGAGTTCGTGCCACTGTACTCCAGCCTGGTGACAAAGCGAGACTTAGTCTCAAGTGAAAAAAAAAAAAAAATTAGCCAGGCATGATGGCATGCTCCTGTAGTCTCCTAGCTACTCAGAAGCCTGAGGCTGGAGGACTGCATGAGCCCAGGACTTCAAGGTTACAGTGAGCTATGATCCTGCTACTAGCACTCTGGCCTGGGAAACAAAGTCAGACCCTGTCTTAGAAAAAAAAAAAAAGTGAGTAGATTAGAAATTCTACCAAATGAGTAGTTGTGGAAGGATAGTGACTGATTTGTTTAGAAAGAGGAAGGTTTGTTTGGGGCAGAGTCCTTGCCCTGGGAAAGGTGAAGCAATATTGAATGACTTCAAGTATTTCAGCCCTTTCATGTGGAAGAGGGATCAAACTCATTCAGTGTGACCCTAGAGATAAAACTAGGGTCAATGAGTGTAAATAAGAGACAGCCAGATTACAGTGACGTATAATGATATGCTTTCTAATAGCTCCAGCTGTACAGACACAGGAGATGCTAAGTTCTCCAACTCTAGAGACGAGTAAGCAGAGACCGAGTGTCCAGGCTGCAGGAATATTATAGGGTTAGGTTTGGTGGGAAGGGGTGGGAAACTACTCATATTTAGTTTTCTTTCTATGAAAGAAGGGTCACAATTCTATAGTTTATCTCCTCACTAGAAATATAAGCCATAGTTGTTTGAATTCCCTGAAAAACAGCTTGAGCTTAATAAAAAAGAATGAGAAATCCAAGGGCTGCCACAGTGGCAAGCCCAGGCTTTGATTGCTGCTGCAGGAACCTGCCCTCCATGCTGATCTCTGCACTGTGGCTGTCAATTTCCCCTCATTTGGTGAAAGTCTAAAAACCAGGGCCTGGTATAGCATGGCATGGTACCAAATATTGGACTACTCTTTGTCTCTTGAAGAGTCATTTTGCCAGATACTACTCAGAAAATTTGCATTCAGGCTGCCAAACTGGGTAAGGCAATAGCATTGGGTAAGTTTGGGTCACTTGTTAGAAAAGACAGTCATGTGGGAGTACCATGGAATAGCTGTTTTTTCATAACCTCTTCAACTAATTCAAAAGTTAGAGTAAGGCTCTATTACTAGGTAGAACAAAGCACATGGTACAAATTTATAAAAGACACACCCAACATTATGCATCCAGAATGAGAAGGTTTTTCCCTTTTGAGAATTCTAATGATTTTATTTTGCCTTCCTTTAGTTTTGAACCACTATCCTTGGCTAAAAGGTGAATTAAATTGCCCCAGTGTTCAACTGTTTGTTCATGCAAATAAATGAAATCTCTCTGTGAATTCTATTGTTAACATAAAAACCTAATGTTGAATTCTTAGTTACATTTAACATCTTACCACAGATAACATCACAACTATTAATTAGTCGTATTCCTTTTATATTTCAATTGAAATAAAGATAAAAATTGCAGATTACAAAAAGGAATTTGTGATCTTGGAAATGTTAAGAAGGTTTTCCCTGGAAGCTAAGTTTAATAAAGATCTGTGGCTTTTTGCATTGTAAGTAGAATAACATGATTGCAACCTAAATCCTATTTTTTTTTCAAATTGAGAAAATTTTTGCCTCTTTGAAATAGGTTGTATTATTTACCTATGCCAAGTTATGCTGCAGTAATGAATGACTCCAAAACATCTGTCACTTAAAACAACAAATGTTTATTGCTTATCCCCATTACCCATTCCCTGTGGGGTAGCCCATCTGGAAGGTCTCTGCTCCAGCTCCTACTTATTCAGTGATGCAGGTGGATTGAGGAACGGCAATATGGGACCGCAGAACTCATGACAAAGCATTGTCACTTCCATTCATATTCCATTGTCACCAAGTCATTGGTGTGAGGTCAGTGAGTGGGGTAGGAAGGGGGCTAGAAGCATCAAAGGGAGACTTAAAATGTGCCAAAAGTCATTGTGATCAAATACATCCTGGAAACATTTTGCTTCATCTGCTTTGCTCTTTCTCAACTACTTGACTGATATGATCAATTGCATGATTTTGCCAAGCCACCAATATTTCATCATTTGTTACTGTGTCCTCAGCCTTTGGTAACCTCAGATTATTGGCCTGCAAAATGGCGGTTTAATAAGCTTTCACTGTGAATAACTAGGGAATGTGGTACTGTGCAAGGTTTTCTCTTTTCCCTAAAGTACAAAAACACAGTACTACACAAAGCCCCTACATGTATTTTTCTTATTAATACTTCATAGTAAATGGATATTAATTCAGGTTACTATAAATTACAGTGAAGCATTTAAACTACTATGGAATTACACCTCGTAGCCACCTGAATACCTGGAGGGTTGCTGGAGAGTAATGTGATTATCACAAGCAACACCAGAGGAAATAATGTAATTTGTTGCCTACTACAAAATGCTATCCCATTTTTCTAAGAACCTTGGCAGGTTGAAAGAAGTTCTTTTAAAGTTAGTTTATTCAATTAAAAAAATTATCTCACCATTTCCCCCTTTCCTTCCTCACCCTTAAGACCTTTAACAAGCAGGTGTAAAATTCAGCAAGTAAGCTTGTTGAGGACTTTCTTGAAGAGAAAGCTTTTAGAATTAGCTAGGATAGCTATATTCTGGAGAGCATTTATAAGATTCCTGTCCAAGAATTTGTGATTGCTTACTTTGAAGTAATTTAGTTTGAAATTTAAATTAAGATAGATAGAGAGATAGATAAATGAAAAGAGGGCAGAAGGGAGGGAGGGATGAAGGAAGAAAAAGAGAAGGAAAGGGAGAGTGGGATCGAGAGAGTGAGACCATGTGATCAGAGAGCTACAAGATTATCTTTCCTGGTAACATAGATTTATCAAAGCACAGAAGATTATAGGAGTGCCAGGTGCTGTATGAAATGGATTATTTTCTTCCATTAGAAAGTAACACCAGTTGACAGGTTTTACTTAAGTAAAAAATTAAGTAGCTCTTACTTAATTTCTCACTATAATCCCTGAAGTGGGAATGGTCTGTTCTCTTCTTTGGCCATCCCACTAACCTGAAAACATTGGAATGGTATATAAGTAGGTATGCGGGTTGCTGAGGGATCTCATGTTGGTGGTTGCTAGTTTGTTCTCTGGGTTCTTATTCTTTGCCTGAATGCCTAGAATAGAATCTTAGCTCCCTTTGAAACAATTTGTCCCTCAGGAGCCATAGCATTCATATAGTATCTCCTTTTTCAAATTTCAAGGCACCACTGTGCATTTTCTACCACCTACCTGTTTGCATATAATATTCACCCAAAAATGCTCTTTTGAATTAAAACATAATGAAACAAAAATTAGGGAAATGGCTCAATATGAAAAAGCAAGCCAATACATTCATGGTCTCACCACTGAATTACAATTTCACAATTTTAAATGCAATTTGTGATTTCTTTCCATATCCAATCACTAAAATACCCTCAGGAGTTAGGAGAACAGAGAAAATACATATATATATCATCATTACTGTCTTTTAGTTTCTTACCTGAAAATTCAGATGCCTCCTTGGAACTTCTCTATTGCTGAAACATTTCACATATTCAGCCTCTCAACGGTTAATAATTCTATTATCAGCTGCATGCCAGTAATTTAATTCAAGACACACACTGAAGGGAGAGTAGATGGAACTTGCTGGCAGATTTGTACACAGAATGTTAGAGAAAGCAAAGAGTCAAGGATGGCTCCAAGGTTGCCTGGCATATGGCTGAACAGTGGTATCTTTACTTAAATGGGGACATTGTGGAGAAGCTGGGTGTGGGGTAAAGGAATATCAATAATTCATTTTTGGACATGTTAAGTTTAAGATGTTGAATGGGCAATTGGACATGCAAGTCAGAAACTCACAGAAGAGGCTGGGGTTAGAGCTCCACCAGAATAAAGATGTTACTCACTGGGATGAGACTGGATGGCTTTACATAGGAGAGGGTGTAGAATTGAATAAAGGAGGTCTTTGGACCAAAGGAATGAACAGTCAACAAAAGAGACAGGAAAGGAGAATTTTGGTAGATAGGGAAGAATGGCTTGAAAAAAGAAGGAGACAATGTAAATATGTCTTCCAAGAAGTTTTGTCAAAAGTGGGCCAGTGAAATGGGAGAAGCTGGAAGGAAAACCTGGTGTTATGGGAGAGGCTGTTTTTTAAGATGAGAGATATTATATAATGTTTACATGCTGATGAAATCATCCAATAGAAGAAACTAAAAATAAAGGAGAAATCAGGATTGAATGTGGGAGCAAAGATTTTGCATATTTAAGAGGTGATGGAAATCCAATGACAGGTGAAAGGATTGGTCTTAATAGAAGAGACACTTCACCCATTGTGATAGGAAGAAGACAGAGTATGTGGTGAGAGACGCTGGGGGAATGGGGAAGATGAGGATATAGACTTCTGGTTGCTTTTAGTTTCTAAGTAAATGATTAAACATGTTTTATCAGCTGAGACTAGACTGAAGATTGGGGTGGAGAGCCAAGATGGCCGAATAGGAACAGCTCTGGTCTACAGCTCCCAGCATGAGCGACGCAGAAGATGGGTGATTTCTGAATTTCCATCTGAGGAACGCAGTCCCTCACCAGCAACGGAACAAAGCTGGATGGAGAATGACTGACGAGTTGAGAGAAGAAGGCTTCAGACGATCAAACTACTCTGAGCTACAGGAGGAAATTCAAACCAAAGGCAAAGAAGTTAAAAACTTTGAAAAAAATTTAGACGAATATATAACCAGAATAACCAATACAGAGAAGTGCTTAAAGGAGCTGATGGAGCTGAAAGCCAAGGCTCGAGAACTACGTGAAGAATGCAGAAGCCTCAGGAGCTGATGCAATCAACTGGAAGAAAGGGTATCAGTGATGGAAGATGAAATGAATGAAATGAAGTGAGAAGGGAAGTTTAGAGAAAAAAGAATAAAAAGAAACGAACAAAGCCTCCAAGAAATATGGGACTATGTGAAAAGACCAAATCTACGTCTGATTGGTGTACCTGAAAGTGACGGGGAGAACGGAACCCAGTTGGAAAACACTCTGCAGGATATTATCCAGGAGAACTTCCCCAATCTAGCAAGGCAGGCCAACGTTCAGATTCAGGAAATACAAAGAACGCCACAAAGATACTCCTCGAGAAGAGCAACTCCAAGACACATAATTGTCAGATTCACCAAAGTTGAAATGAAGGAAAAAATGTTAAGGGCAGCCAGAGAGAAAGGTCAGGTTACCCACAAAGGGAAGCCCATCAGACTAACAGCTGATCTCTCGGCAGAAACTCTACAAGCCAGAAGAGAGTGGGGGCCAATATTCAACACTCTTAAAGAAAAGAATTTTCAACCTAGAATTTCATATCCAGCCAAACTAAGATTCATAAGTGAAGGAGAAATAAAATCCTTTACAGACAAGCAAATGCTGAGAGATTTTGTCACCACCAGGCCTGCCTTACAAGAGCTCCTGAAGGAAGCACTAAACATGGAAAGGAACAACTGGTACCAGCCACTGCAAAATCATGCCAAATTGTAAAGACCATCGAGGCTAAGAAGAAACTGCATCAACTAACGAGCAAAATAACCAGCTAACATCATAATGACAGGATCAAATTCACACAGAACAATATTAACTTTAAATGTAAATGGACTAAATGCTCCAATTAAAAGACACAGACTGGCAAATTGGATAAAGAGTCAAGATCCATCAGTGTGCTGTATTCAGGAAACCCATCTCACATGCAGAGACACACATAGGCTCAAAATAAAAGGATGGAGGAAGATCTACCAAGCAAATGGAAAACAAAAAAAGGCAGGGGTTGCAATCCTAGTCTCTGATAAAACAGACTTTAAACCAACAAAGATCAAAAGAGACAAAGAAGGCCAAGACAAAATGGTAAAGGGATCAATTCAACAAGAAGAGCTAACTATCCTAAATATATATGCACCCAATACAGGAGCACCCAGATTCATAAAGCAAGTCCTGAGTGACCTACAAAGAGACTTAGACTTCTACACAATAATAATGGGAGACTTTAACACCCCACTGTCAACATTAGACAGATCAATGAGACAGAAAGTTAACAAGGATACCCAGGAATTAAACTCAACTCTGCACCAAGTGGACCTAATAGACATCTACAGAACTCTCCACCCTAAATCAACAGAATATACATTTTTTTTCAGCACCACACCACACCTATTCCAAAATTGACCTCACAGTTGGAAGTAAAGCTCTCCTCAGCAAATGTAAAAGAACAGAAATTATAACAAACTGTCTCTCAGACCACAGTGCAATCAAACTAGAACTCAGGATTAAGAAAGTCACTCAAAACCACTCAACTACATGGCAACTGAACAACCTGCTCCTGAATGACTACTGGGTACATAACGAAATGAAGGCAGAAATAAAGATGTTCTTTGAAACCAATGAGAACAAAGACACAACATACCAGAATCTCTGGGACACATTCAAAGCAGTGTGTAGAGGGAAATTTATAGCACTAAATGCCCACAAGAGAAAGCAGGAAAGATCCAAAATTGACACCCTAACATCACAATTAAAAGAACTAGAAAAGCAAGAGCAAACACATTCAAAAGCTAGCAGAAGGCAAGAAATAACTAAAATCAGAGCAGAACTGAAGGAAATAGAGACACAAAAAACCCTTCAAAAAATTAATGAATCCAGGAGCTGGTTTTTTGAAAGGATCAACAAAATTGATAGGCCGCTAGCAAGACTAATAAAGAAGAAAAGAGAGAAGAATCAAATAGATGTAATAAAAAATGATAAAGGGGATATCACCACAGATCCCACAGAAATACAAACTAACATCACAGAATACTACAAACACCTCTATGCAAATAAACTAGAAAATCTAGAAGAAATGGATAAATTCCTCAAAACATACGCCCTCCCAAGACTAAACCAGGAAGAAGTTGAATCTCTGAATAGACCAATAACAGGCTCTGAAATTGTGGCAATAATCAATAGCTTACCAACCAAAAAGAGTCCAGGACCAGATGGATTCACAGCCGAATTCTACCAGAGGTACAAGGAGGAACTGGTACCATTCCTTCTGAAACTATTCCAATCAATAGAAAAAAAGGAAATCCTCCCTATCTCATTTGATGAGGCCAGCATCATCCTGTTATCAAAGCCGGGAAGAGACACAACCAAAAAAGAGAATTTTAGACCAATATCCTTGATGAACATTGAGGCAAAAATCCTCAATAAAATACTGGCAAACCGGATCCAGCAGCACATCAAAAAGCTTATCCACCATGATCAAGTGGGCTTCATCCCTGGGATGCAAGGCTGGTTCAATATACGCAAATCAATAAATGTAATCCAGCATGTAAACAGAACCAAAGACAAAAATCACATGATTATCTCAATAGATGCAGAAAAGGCCTTTGCCAAAATTCAACAACCCTTCATGCTAAAAACTCTCAATAAATTAGGTATTGATGGGACGTATCTCAAAATAATAAGAGCTATCTATGACAAACCCACAGCCAATATCATACTGAATGGGCAAAAACTGGAAGCATTCCCTTTGCAAACTGGCACAAGACAGGGATGCCCTCTCTCACCACTCCTATTCAACATAGTGTTGGAAGTTCTGGCCAGGGCAATCAGGCAGGAGAAGGAAATAAAGGGTATTCAATTAGGAAAAGAAGAAGTCTAATTGTCCCTGTTTGCAGATGACATGATTGCATATCTAGAAAACCCCATTGTCTCAACCCAAAATCTCCTTAAGCTGATAAGCAACTTCAGCAAAGTCTCAGGATACAAAATCAATGTACAAAAATCACAAGCATTCTTATACACCAATAACAGACAAACAGAGAGCCAAATCATGAGTGAACTCTCATTCACAATTGCTTCAAAGAGAATAAAATACCTAGGAACCCAACTTACAAGGGACGTGAAGGACCTCTTCAAGGAGAACTACAAACCACTGCTCAATGAAATAAAAGAGGATACAAACAAATGGAAGAACATTCCATGCTCATGGGTAGGAAGAATCAATATTGTGAAAATGGCCATACTGCCCAAGGTAATTTATAGATTCAATGCCATCCCTATCAAGCTACCAATGACTTTCTTCACAGAATTGGAAAAAACTACTTTAAAGTTCATATGGAACCAAAAAAGAGCCCGCATTGCCAAGTCAATCCTAAGCCAAAAGAACAAAGCTGGAGGCATCACGTTACCTGACTTCAAACTACACTACAAGGCTACAGTAACCAAAACAGCATGGTACTGGTACCAAAACAGAGATATAGATCAATGGAACAGAACAGAGCCCTCAGAAATAACGCCGCATATCTACAACTATCTGACCTTTGACAAACCTGAGAAAAACAAGCAATGGGGAAAGGAATCCCTATTTAATAAATGGTGCTGGGGAAACTGGCTAGCCGTATGTAGAAAGCTGAAACTGGATCCCTTCCTTATATCTTATACAAAAATTAATTCAAGATGGATTAAAGACTTAAATGTTAGACCTAAAACCATAAAAACCCTAGAAGAAAACCTAGGCAATACCATTCAGGTGGGAGGTGATTGGATCATGGGGGCAAATTTCTTAGGAATGTCTTAGCACCATCCCCTTGGTGCTGTCTTCATGTTAGTGAGTCGCTTCTAGCATGATCTGGCTGTTTAAAAGTCTGCTCTCTCTCTCTCTCTCTTATTCCTCCTCTGGCCATGTGAAAATCCTGTTGTTTCTTTGCCTTCTTCCATGATTAAAGATTCCCAAGGCCTCCCCAGAAGCCAAGCCGATGCCAGCACTGTGCTTCTTGTACAGCCTGCAGAATCTTGAGCCAATTAAACCTCTTTTCTTTATAAATTACACAGCCTCAGGTATTTATTTATAGCAATGCGAGAACTGCCTAATACAGAAAATTGATACTGAGGAGTGGGACATTTCAGTATAAAGATACCCAAAAATGTGGAAGCAGCTTTGGAACCGGCTAATAGCCGGAGGTTAGAAGAGTTTGGATGGCTTGATGGAAGACGCATAACTTCCTAGAGACTGATTAAATGGTTGTGACTAAAATGCTGATAGTGATATGGGCAGTGAAGTCCAGGCTAATGAAGTCTCAGATGGAAATGAGGAACTTATTGGGAACTAAAGCAAAGGTTACCTATGTTTGCGAAGGCATAAGCCTTAGCAAAGAACTTGGCTACATTCTGTTCATGCCCCAGGGATCTGTGGAAGTTTGAACTTGAAACTGATGACTTAGGGTATTTGGCAGAAGAAATTTCTAAGCAGCAAAGCATTCAGGATGTAATCTGACTGCTTCTGAAAACCTATGCACAGATGTAGAAGCAAAGAAATGACTTAAAGTTGGAAATTATATTTAAACAGGAAGCAGAGTGTAAAAGTTTGGAAAATTTGCAGCTTAGCCATGTGGCAAGGAAAGAAGAAGCATTTTTAGGAGAAGAATTTATGCAGGCTGTGCAGGAACCACTTGCTAGAGAGATTTGGATAACCAAAAAAGAGCCAAGTGTGAATAGCCAAGACAATGGGAAAAAGGCCTCAAAGGCATTTCACGGACCTTTGCTGCCCTGCACAGTCTCAGGACACTGCTTCCAACATCCTGGTTGTTCCAGCTCCAGCCTCAGCTCAAAGAAGCCCAGTTACAGCTTGGTCCACAGCTCCAGAGGGTGCAAGCTGTAAGACTTGGTGGCTTCCATGTGGTGTTAAGCCTGAGAGTGCACATACTGCAAGAGTTGAGGCTTGGCAGTCTCCACGTAGATTTCAGAAGATATATGAGAAAGCCTGGGTATCCAGGCAGAAGGCTGCTTCAGGGGCAGAGTTCCCACAGACAACATTTACTAGGGCAATCTTTTTAGATTACTAAGTCTCAGGTATTTCTTTAATAGCAATACAACAGCCTAATACAGTGACTGTATTTGAAGATAAAGATTTTAAAGAGATAATAAAAATAAAATGAGGTATATAGTCTAACTGGTATCCTTATAAGAAGAGGAAATGTGGAGCCACAAAGAGACATTGAGACATTAGAAAAGTGGTCAACGCAGAGAAAAGACCACGTGACAACACAGCAGGAAGCTGGACATCTGCAAACCAAGGAGAGAGATCTCAGAAGAAACCTCCAGAACTATGAGAAAATAAATTTCTCTTGTTTAAACAACTTAATATGTGCTATTTTGTTATGAAAATCCTGGGAAACTAATACAGCCTCTGTCTTCACTACTAGCCTTCAGGATAAGAACTAATCCTTTTTTTTTTTTTTTGAGACAGAGTCTTGTTCTGTAGCCAGGCTGGAGTGCAGTGGCACAATTTCAGCTCACTGCAACCTCCACATCCTGGATTCAAGCGATTCTCCTGCTTTAGCCTCCTGAGTAGCTGGGACTACAAGAGTGCACCACCATGCCCAAGTAATTTATTGTCTTTTAGTAGAGATGGGGTTTCACCATGTTGGCCAGGATGGTCTCGATCTCCTGACCTCATGATCTGCCTGCCTTGGCCTCCCAAAGTGCTGGGATTATAGGCATCAGCCACCGCGCCTGGCCTAGCATAAGAACTAATCTTATTTTCCTTTTTAGACCTTAGGACTCTTATTCAGCATACCCCCCCAACCTCCATATAATTTTTTCATCTGACTAATGTTACAAATGTCTAGGATTCTTTACCAGAAGAATGAAAGAACAGGTGAGAATAAATGTTTGCACACAGGTATAAATTATGTTTCTCCCCAGTGTGGATTGGACTACATTTAAAATTCCAAGGTCAAAAGTTAGTTACTTTGTATCATTTATTTATTTTCACCATCCAAATCTCTTTCTTCACACGTTTTTGGGGATAATTGTTGGGTGGTAAGAAATTTGGCAGTGCTTGTAGCAAAAAAGTAGAACTCTAGTGACTTAATTGGCAAAAGATAAAAACTGATGTCCAAACTGATTGACTGAGGGCTTCAAAGTTATCATGTTTGAACATGCTCCTTTCAGAGTGACACTGACAAAGGCATCATTATACTTTCAATTTAGGTGTAATCAGAAGTTGAGCTCCTTCCTCAGGTTTCTGAGTGTGGCCAGGACTGGCGCTCTCTTTTCCCTCTCAAATTCCTCCTTTTCTTAAGGAAAATAAATGTGTTTACATGGGCAGACACTTTCAAGTTTTCTCAGTTCTAGTTAAAACATTTCAATTTAATGTTGCCATACTTTAGCAAACAACAACATAGCTAGGCAGGATGTGATGAATGAAGCCACCTAAATATTTTCTGTCAACTACCTTTACAGCATGATGCGCATTAAAGGGATCCCATGCCTTGCAAACAGAACTGTAATTTCAATTGACTTACATTTTGTGGTTAAGAACATGACTTCTGACCAGCCTGAATGACATAGCGAGATCCTATCTCTACAAAAATTAAAAAAAAAAAAATTAGCCAGCATGGGGTTGCATGCCTGTAGTCCCAGCTACTCGAGGGGCTGAGGTGGAAGGATTGCTTGAGCCTGGGAGTTCCTGGCTGAAGTGAGCTGTGATTGCACCACGGCACCCCAGCCTGGGTAACAGAGTGAGACCCTGCTCTAAAAAATAAAAATAACAAATAAATAAACAACAAATGAAAAAAAAAATGACCTCTTACCAAATGATTATTTCAGCTTCTAGAATAGCCTCAGTTCCTAGCTAGTGAGGAAAACAATAATCTCACTTTTGCACCTTGTAGGCTGACACATCTTACTAAACCCTGAGGACCTTTAACAGACTTGAATTGGATTTGAACCACTTTTGTCATTACATGGTGAGAGGTTACCATTTGCCATAACTTTATTTTTCTTTAATTTTTTATCTAAAGTCACAGGACTGTTTCTTCACCAGGAAATTTCTGAGGGGTTTGATAAATGTCGAGTGACCTGAAATAGCTCAATAAACATACTTTTTGTAATGACTAAAGGAGATTTTGACTCCCCGCCCCCCAGGGGATTGAGTTAGGGTTAGAAAGAAGAGTATGCTGATGCAGGAAAACCTTTTCTGTCCCAATAAGCCATTAGTGTTCACTTCCAAGCCTCCCAGGGCAGCCAAGCACTAACAAGCAATGACAACCTTAAGACCCTCTTGCCTCCCGATTTATTTTCAGCAAATCCTTCTACACACTCTGCCTTTTATTTTCTGGTCTTCTATTAAAGAATTCTATACAAATCTTTATACTGCAATGTTATTTCCAACTGTAAAAAATGTTTATTAGAGAGTCACAATTCCATATGCATCAGAGTCTAATTCCCCATATTCCCAATTCCACTCTAGACACTTCCTTTCTCCTGGATTTGTGGGCTTTACTTCTCTCGACTCCTTCTCCTCCCTTTCTTTCTGCCACCTCTTCCCTGTTCCCTATCCAGTGGGAGAGTAACAGGGATCCTATGAGAGAAGGACTCATAAGGCCAGGAGACTGAGCGAGTCTAATGATAGAAAGTTGCGTGGTATCATGGCTCCTCCATGTTTCAGTCTTCAAATAACCTCAAAGCTATTATTCTGATTTAGAATACACTATATTTAGAATTAGTTTTATTTCTGGAAACTATGCAAACCAAGACATTCCATTTTTATGGCGATATTCTAGCCTTCTTTTTTATGTTTATACAGAATCTTGGTAAATTTTGCCAAAGTGTCCCTATAGCCCCTTTATGTCTTAAAGGGTGCCAAAGAGAAGGAAAAAGAGATTTGATTTGTTACCTATTTACTTGTTACCCAAGAGGCAGATCTAGGACCACAGTGAGAATATTATTGAAAAGATTTGACTTAATTTGAATCCAGGGAGGGGAAGGCCCAAGGATAAGCTATGGACTGTCAATATATTTCACTTGTGACATACCATTTTTTGAATGTGTCCTTTTCTGAAAGTTCTCAGCTCTTCCTGAAATAAGCCAATTTTGTAAGAACAAGATGAGTTTCTCAGATTTTTGATAGTTTCAACTCTTCGGTGAAAACTGAGTAACATATGAACAATTCCATCTTTTCAACTATTTGATAGGCAATGCAGGCCCCAAAATATTCAGAAAAGAGGAAGGGCACACCCAACAAAAGAAACACTCCTTCCCTGCTAAGATCAGAATTGGCTGGAGAGTGAAACCACAATGATTGCTGTTACAATGCCATATGGATTCAAGTCTGGTCTATATTATAAATGCTGAGGGAGTCTTAACCTCCTCCTAAGCCCCCCAGCCTTCTGTCCTTGACTGGAAGCCAAGGTTTTGCTGTACATTTTGAAGCATCGTCCAAGTATTCTCCTGCTCTCTTGCCTGTAAAGAACAGAGGCTGTCTTGGATAACGTGTCCATGAGAGAGTCCACCCTCACACACTGTACAGTCCAAGAAAGATATGTCACTATGTATATCCACAGCTCTTACAAAACCACACAGTCATGCTGTATGCAACACTCTTCTGCAGGACAAAAGGTACTGGAACTTTCCATGTGGGAAGACATGGTCCTGCTGTTGTAGAGATGGCTCAGGGGGATAAGGGAGGTACCAGAGGTGAGGATATGAGGCTATGAGAAAATACCTCTAAAGAGAGAGGCCAGAACTGAGATGTGTGACGCTTTGGCCCCATTTTATGCACAGCTGTGTTATAAATGTGATGAACTAGCATTTCTTGGATCATGTTCAGCCTGGGCCATGGGACAGCAAAGGTGGGAATAAAAACAATGTTACCTTAGGCCTGCCCTCCCCCAGGATGTGTATATCTAAGAGCTGAAAATTGCTGAGATCTGTCTTCACAGCTGCAAGGGCTTAGGATTGTATGAATATAATATGTATTTTGTAACTCCAAGTTCCTAGTTGTCCATAATTTAGAAGGAGAGGATCTCTCTGAGTCCCTATCTGTCTGTCTGTCTCTGTCTCTCACATCTATTTTAGGACTTGTTAGAGAAGAAAGTCCTTAAGCCAGTTTAGATGTCCTCTTGAGATCATGAGGGTAAGAGGGTGGTGGTGATTTTTGGTGGTGACTTTGTCATAGGCCATTCATCCATTCACTCTAACAATCATCAAATAATTGGCCTTATATTTGGGTGAATCTCTGAGTAAACTGCAGTCAAACAGTTCTCGGATTGCAAGAGGCTCTATGGGCATTCCTGCTCCACTGGAGAACTATGTTTGAAATTAACAAAATATATAGGCATCTTCTAAAATGTCTGCCTGCCCTGTATCCCCGATATTAATTCTCTCTCTGTATCTATATGCCTTCCTTGTTAGATCATAACTCTACAGAAATTATTTTATTTTTCATCTCAGAAGACATGATTATATTATAGGAATGGAGGCCAAATTACTAGTGGGGAAACTGAGTACTACCAAAAAGGAGTTAACTGTTACAGCCTGGCCACAGGGCAGGGATGGGAAATGCAGAGACAGACTAAGGTTTACACATCTCACTTGGCTGCCATCCTCCTGAGAAAAACAGTACATCCTCTATTGATTTCCATGTCTCAGTGAACCAGATATAATTATAAATATGAGGGTGGGAAAATCACTAAGGAAACTTAATTTTGAGAAGAAACAGACAACTAGTTCTGTCAGATGAAAGTCTTCCCATGCGAAGACTAAGCAAGCAGGAGTAGCAGCTGATGGGCAAACTTCCCTTATATTTTGTAGGCTGCATACAAGCACATTCTCTAGGTAAAATTAGGTTTAACGTTTACATCAGTTGGTGCCTGTTTGAGCTTTAGTGTTGAGCCTAAGTGAAAAGGCTCACTCTAGGGATTATATAAAAATGTTCCAGTCAAGTATGATGAACTAACTTCCTCATGTTCAGAAAAAGAGTGAATTGGCTTAGAAATTACACTCTAGCCAGAAACCTATATCCTTAAATAAGCCTTTGGTCATACTGTTTACATTCATTAAAAAACCCCAGTATTACTGGGGACTAAACCTAATATATTAGATACGGTAAGAAGAAAGCACAGAAAATTTTTGGCAACCTCAGCTGAAGAAGCAAAGATACGAATAACTTTCCAAATTCTTGAAATTGAAAGGACATCAGTTTCATCATTCATGGGCCCTTCCTTTAGAGAAGGGAACCCTGAAGAGGGCAAGACAAGTTGCTGGCCACAGAAGATCCCTGGAAGCTAATGCTCTAAGAAAGCTTGTTCATAGAACATCAGTTTCACTCTGTCATAGAATCCCAGACTATGACACCAGCTACTTTTCTTAAGTCATGTAGAAAACCACACCCAGTTGCATCTATATTCTAGAATAAGTAAATTAAAATTCTCCCTTCCAGCTAATAAAACTCCAGTGGGGACTTAATCCTTTTAGTGTTCATTACAGAATGCATAAAATGAGAACAAAACTTTGTAGGAGACTGATAGAGTCTCAAAATGAGGGCCTCTCCATTGTTTCAGAACCTAGAAGGGCTCATAGTAACGCTCGTGAAATGAAAGTGAAATTCTAATGGAAATTTTCTAGTAGCAATAAGATAAATTGAAAGTGTTCTCTGTCCTTTTATTCTCTTTCTTTTGGGGCTGAATCCATTTGACAAAGAAGTGTGTGTGTGTGTGTGTGTGTGTGTGTGTGTGTGTGTGTGTGTGTTTACAGCAAACTTTTAAAAAATTAATTCTAAAAATTTGGGGAAGAAATAGAAGTAGTTAAGAAGCAGCAGGAAAACAATAGAGTGAACTGTGGGATAGAGTTTGTGCCAATGTCAGCACATACATTTTTGTACATGATAATTTGAAAAATAGTTTATAGTTCTTCAACCTAACAACTGAGACCCCACACACTGCAAAATAATCACGCTACTGAAGCAAACAAACAAAAACTGCTACTGAAAAATAATCACCTTTTACAAAACAGTGGCCCAACATTAACAGAAACTGAGGTCAATTTAAGCACACAATATTTTCACAGCCCCTTCAAAACCAAGCAAACTTATCCTCTTTTTTAAATAGTAAAGTTGAAAGTGAACCTCATTTGAACTATTGCCCCCCATATCAACAATTCAATTTCCAAAAGCTACTGAGACATGAGTTCCTTTTTTTTCTTCCACTGCTTTCTCATCCTCCAAGTTGTCTTTTATTCTACAAGCACTGTGACTGTTAATTTTCTTTACTCTCTAGTTAAAAAAATTGGTTTTCTCAAATGTTTTTACATAAAAAGAGCAGTGGAAACTCATGTCTCTTGAACTTGGCTCATCTTAATTATTTTTAGTCCTACAGGGCTTCTTTAAGTCTATAAGAGTCAATAAATTTCCAAATTTTTTTTTTCAAACTCCATCATCTGTTTTACTCCTTAGTTCCAGGCACTTTGAAAACTCTAACTTTGATACTAGTTGCTTTTTTTTTTTTGGCTGAACTTTTCTCCCATTATCATGCATTCCTATGTCATTTCCATTGTTCCTCTCATGGCCTAGTCTTTTTCTACTTCTCTCTTTCCTCTTTTATCTTTCTTTTTTGGTCTACACAGCTGGGATCCATTCTAAGCATTTCCAAAATCACTTTTACCCATAATTCTTTTCACAGATTGTTAGCCTGTTGGAGAGGTGAGAATAGCCTTTGAGGTATAATCAAGATTTCATAAACAGTAAGGAACAGTTTGTCAGTCTTTCTTGATGAGTGGGCTAATGACTCTTTTTAAGGCTGAATTAAATACTGCAATTGTTAATTAACTCTCTTGATAAGAAATAACTCAAGGAAAAGCATGACTAAATAAAGCCGCAGTATGCCCACTCTTGACAATACAGTATTCATCTCAAGGTTTTTGCCCTCGTTGTCAAACCTCTTATAAGAACTGAATTTATTAAAATTTCAAACTTTATAAAACAGTTTCCTTTCTTAGGATGTAGGACTTACTGGTGACTAAAGTGGAAAAATGCTAAGAAACCGAGGAAGGACATTTTCATATCAGCAGATTCTAATAGGGAGAATGATTTTTCTCTTAGTCTGTGACTCACACCAATGCCAAGCTTCTGTAAAAATGGGAAGTATATTTCTTAGCCTTAATTTTGTAGCATGAGTTTATGAAATACATAATGCAGGAATACTAAAGGTGTCTAATTTTTTCTCTAATTCCAAGAGAAAGAAGAAAGCACAAGGATACAACATCTAGATATGAAGTGGAGCTACCCAAAGTGGAAGGAGCTAGTGTCCTTAAAGAATATTTAACTCTTAGTCTCTCCCTACCCTGGGAGCTCACTGAGAGAAGGGCCTGTAATTTATCCATTTTTATGTTTGGCATACTTGGCACGGAGCCTAGGACATTGTAAGTGTTTAGTACATATTTGTTGAATAAATGAGGATGACTGCAAATATTAAACATTTTAAACGAGCACAATCTGAAGTGGATATATTGGAAAGATATTTATTTTTTGGATTATTAGCTTTATAAGGAAAAACTATTACTTATTTAGGTTATATTCCAAAATACTAATTTTGACTTTGTATACTGTGGGTGTTTGGGACATACATTATTTAAAATTAATTGTCATAGAGGATTCATTCAATATCAACTTCCATCTTTTCCTGATGGATGTGTTGAAAGCCTCTCTTTGTGTGTTTCTCAATAAGTTCCCTAAGGAAAATTGGGTTAGTGTCAGACCTTCTAAGTCACATTTAAACAATCATAGAATCTTAAGACTCTTGTCACTGACAAGTGCTGCAGACTAGCAGAAGTAAAGTTAAGATGATACTCTGGCCTTCTAATTTGAGGACAGATCTTTACGATCCAAACCACCCCTGCATTAATGACTCAGAATCTGTTCTGGGTTTCTGAAGATTTCATAGCATGTATACATCTGAAGTTCACTATAAACCCACACATATTTTCCCGAGGGATTAACCTTCATTGAAAAGCAAAAACACTCTAAACTTTTTAATATAATTGAAGTCATTGAAGTCATTAAGGTTAATTTTTAACAATTATAGGATTTCCAGGAAGTCTTTTGAGATGTATTTTGCCAAGAGCAAACAAATTTAAACACCCAAAGACTCATTTTTTTTTAGTTCAAAACTACAGACCCCATTAGAGTGGGTCAGCTTCTAAATTTGGCAAAACTCCATTTCCTAGTTCTCCAGAAATGAGTATCAATCACCCCAAACAAGCAGCCAGCTACTAATCAGCAACCACATAAATGAGTCTCATTGAAAATACTTTAAGCTATTTCATGTGTCAAGTTAGAAAAAGCTGGGGAAAAGCTTTTCCCCTTTTGATTAAGCATCACAAATGAGCATTTCATTTAAGCAAATGCTTTCTGCAACCTAATTTGGAGAATGCACAGGACAGCAAAGTTTTTACTGAGAATATGGGAGGAAACATGGAAAGAAACATGAATATACTTATGGATGTGCTACCTTGGGATAAGTGAGTATCTATCACAACTAAAATGACAGTTAATCTTTACAAAAGGCATATACGTATATATTTTAACCAAACATTAATCCTTAAAGAGGAAAAGAAAAACATGCATCATTTAACAGGCTCAAGAAAACACCATTTAATCAAAAGTGGTGCTAAACCAAGCATTCCTACATAGGGACTCCCCCCATCCTCAAGAGATATGTAGATAGAAAATCTAGGGGGGTTGCAGATTTAGATGGGAAAAAGGTACATTTTATTTTTACTAACCTATAACTTAAATTTAGACATTTCCTACCATTATGAATGCAGACAACCCAAAACATTCGTATTAGTAGTATCGATGACTTTGTCTCCAATAGAAATAAGATATTTACATAACAGTGTATTTATTATAGATACTTAGAAATTTTATTCTCATTCCTATTTTAATATTGTGGTAGTCATTAGACCAATTGTTAGATTTTGCTTGTTACTTAATGTTTAAATAAGAAATATTACCATAAATGTTTTCTTAATTTTTTGACACCATTTCAATATACTGGTTTCCTTTATATTTTAAGCATTAAAAACATTATTCCAAGCCAGTATTCTTTAGCTTCACCCATATGCAAAAGGTAAGAATTTTAACTGTAAGAGTTTGAAAAAGAGTCATCAACATATTTTGTTCATATTTGGGATGAGTGTTTAATTCAACAGACACTTTGGCGCATTCTCTACTCTCTTTACGAAATTATGCACTATAATGGGAGCTTAATGGCCATACACTGATAAATAATAGTTCCTTGTAAGCTAACTTGCTGATGAACATTAGCTAGATATATTATCTAAGCAATATATACTTTGCATATTTTGGAATAGAGAATATTCTTATAAACTTTTACTCATTAGCTTTGTACTAGCTATTCCTCAAACTTGACAAATTTTTGTATTTATTGAGGCAATTTATTCAGCTAGTTCTTCAAAACACAGGATTTAGGGAAATGAGGATAAATCACTTCTTGATTTTATGATAAATGAAAGAGCCTAATTACTTCATTTTTACGTATTTTTTACATTGTACTGCTATAGTCTGTATTCTTAAATAGTGACTACACTTTACATATTGACATTAATATATTATGAATTCTATACTACTTTGTTTATTCATCTATTCTGCCATTCTTGGAGCCCATGGCATAAAGTTGTGTTAAGCATTGGTTCTTTGCTTATCCTATCATTTTGTGGAGTTCATTTCCTGTGGCCTTTTCAACATGCAATAAATTATGTCAGTGCTTTCAATGTTAGGAATTACTAAAAATATACTTTTAAAAACTATTACATTTTGGAATTTTTAGAAATAGAATAACAAGACACCTGGGACATTTTACATGGATTAATGAAGTGAGGTTTGCCTTAATGGAAGAAGCAATCTCTGCATATGTGTGTATGTGTGTTTACTACATCTTCTTAATCTCATTCATCCCAAACCATTTTCAACACTTTGCTCCCCATTCCCCATCTTCCAACACCTTTCACTAAATATTTTGAGAGGCAGTGGTAAGAGGGAGATGAAAAATGAAGAAGCAAATAAAAAAGGGGTAGTAGAGTCATTTAATATATATATATATATATTCATAAAGAAGAAAAGTACTCCCTAAAATTAAAGCACCATTTTCCATTAGTAGGCTACTTTTCCAGCACTGAAGGAAAAAAACCGTCTTTCCTCCTTTCCTTTCTTCCTTTTTCCTTCACTTCTCCACTCCTTCCTTCTTTCATTCCTTCCTTCCTTTCCTTTTCCTCCTCCTCCTTATTCTTCATTTTCATCTTCTTCTCCTTTTCATTTCTTTCTTCTTTTTCCTTTCCTTTCTTCCTTTTTCTTTTCCTTTCCTCTTCCTTCCCTTCTCCCTTCCTTCCTTCTTTCCTTCCTTCCTTTCCTTTTCCTCCTCCTACTTATTCTTCGTTTTCATGTTCTTCTTCTTCTCCTTTTCTTTCTTTCTTTTTCTTTCTTTTTCTCCTTCCTTCCTTTCCTCTTCCTCCTCCTCCTCTTCCTTCTCTTCCTCCTTATTCTTTGTTTTCATTTTCTTCTTCTCTTTCTTCTTTTTCTCTATTTCTCCCCCCTTCCTTCCTTTCCTCTTCCTCCTCCTCCTCTTTCTTCATCTTCATTTTCTTCTTCTTTCTTTCTTTCTTTCCTTTCTTTTCTCTATTTCTTCCTTCCTTCATTCATTTGTTCTTTTTATTCTTTCTTTCTTTCTTTTTCTCTTTTTCCTTCCATTATATTTCTTCTTTCTGTCTTTCATTATATTCCAGGCACTGTTTTAAGTGCTGGGGATGAACAAAATTAATGAGAGAGAGAAAGAAACTTGCTCTCAAATAGCCTACATTCTGGTTGCAAGGATAGCCAACACACAAAGTAATTTAAAATAAAGGATAAAGTTAAGCATCAAGTAGGAATACCAAATGTGAAAGACTTTTAACATTAGTGATGGTTCTTTTTTTAAAAAGCCAGTTTTTGAAGTATAATTGACAATGAATGCTGTACATATTTAATGTATACAACTTGATGAATTTGGAGATAAATATACACTTGTGAAACCATCACCATCAATCAATGCAATAAACATGTCCATCACCTCCCAAAGTTTCCTCCTGCCCTCCTAATTAATTAATGTGTGTGTTTGCAAATAAGACCATCAGGGAGGCCAATATGGCCGGAAGAATCAGAAAGGTAATGGAGTGAAGGAAAAATCACATAAGATGTTAGGACTATGACTTTTACTGTGACACGAGGAATGACTGGACAGTTTTGAAAAGAAGAGTGACACGATTTAACTTACCTGTAAACATTACTGATGATTGTGAAGAGAGTAGACTGCAGGGGGTGTGGTCGGTGGGAGGGAAGGGTGGAAGCATGGAGATCAGTTGGGGGCAATCTGTGAATGCCCATGAGAGGTGGTTGTGGCTTAGAACAAATGGTAGCAGTTGTGAATAGAAGTGGGTGAGTTGTTGATGTATTCTAAGGTAAGCCAATGGGACTTGCTGCCGATTTGGTTTAGGTTATAAGAAAAAGAAAGTATTTAAAGATTACTAAGACGTTTGAGGCAGAACAACTCGAAAATTGAAGTTGCCATGAACTCAGGTGGGAAAGCATGTTTGGGGGCCGGTGTCTGGACATATTTAACATATTCAGTTTGAGCTGCTTCTTCCACATCCAAGTGAAGAATTCAAGTCAGGAGCTGGATATAGGAATTTAAATTTTGGGGAAGGGTCATGCTGGTAATATGAATTTGGGAATCATCAATATATAGATGATCGCTAAAGACCTGGGTCTGGGTGAGAGTAGGGGATGAATGTAAATAGGAAAGACCATAAAAGAGAAGAGGCTCAAGTTCAAGGCCCCATAAGATATGGGGGAGATAAGGAAGGACTAGTGAGAACCCTGAGAAAATCCAGGAAGGTAGGAAAAATGCCCGGCAATGATTCCTCCTTGTGCTTTTCCATCCCCTGATATGGAGGGGTTGTACATGTTAGCAGTGACAGTCTAGTCCTGGAAAATACAGTGGGGATGATGTTGTTTAGTTCAAATGTGTTTAAAGATGCTGAGAAGTATACCATATGCAGTCCACTGATATTTTTCTTCGATTTGAATTAAGACTTCCTGGCTACAGAACACTAAAAATATATCATGCTGAAAAATGGACACACAGAACACTCTGTGTGTGTGTTTTTCACAGCTTTCCGTGACATTTTAACTAAGTGTGGAGGATATTGTTCTGCTTTTCATTACACTTGGTATGGCTAATGCTGAATGAGTGGGGGTTACAGTCATACCATGTGACAGATGGCTGTGTCATAGGCACACTGCAGGGATGAGCAGAAGGAAATGTGGCTACAAGAGATCAACTCTTGATTCAGCTGCACATAGCGTGGTAGAGTGGGAATGTAAATCAAGAAAGTTACTCATCAAAATAAAGCTTCCCTTCAGGTTGTTTCTTTTTCACCATTACCTCAAAGTATGCATATTTTCTCAGTTCAAGCTATCTCCACCACTATTGGAACAATCAGTTATATTTGCAAAAAATGCCCTTTTCATGTTATTTTGTGGAAAATCTAATTCAACAAAGGTTAATTTTAGTTTGGGAAAAAAACAATTTTCTCAGGAAATCCAATAATGATAGCTGTGAGTGGAAAGGAAGTCTAAGGGAAAGAAATCAAGAGCATAGATTGCTTATGTAAAACTGGATTTAAACTTTGGAAGCCAGATCCATTTGACTGGGGGAAAACACTAAATATCATTGTAAGATAATAGCCTAGATGTGGCCTTTGGTGGGGTTTGCCTTGCTTGTGCCTTGGGAGGTATTGAGTTCTTTTCTCTAGGAATAGCACCTTCCCCTGAGACAGATCGAGGAAGGCAAAAAAAAAACGAAGGCAAACATCAAATGTCTCAGTTCTTCCAATGGTATATAAATCACTGTGCCTGGCTTCTTTAAATAAAAATGTAGAGATGGGTCTTGCTGTGCTGTCCAGCCTGGTCTTGAAGTCCTGGCTTCAAGCAATCCTCCTGCCTCAGCCTCCCAAAGTGCTGGGATTACAGGCATGAGCCACTGCACCTAGCCTTATATGAGTAGTCTTAAGAAGAAAAAAAAAAAACATGTTTTGATAGAAGAAGTGCAAATTTTTAACTAAAATGAGTTTATGGAGATTTTGTGAAGTTACTTGCTCTTGCTTTCTCTGCCCCCACTCTGTACTTGGCAGCCTGCAGACACAAACCAAGGGAGCAAGTGACCACTTAGATGCAGAGGGAAGTGCCTCGCTCTCTGTCATTCTCTCCCTCTTATTGTCTCTTTCTCTGTCTGTCTGTCCATGTGGCTGTTGCTGTGTCTCTCCGACTCTGTTCTGTCTTTCTCCCATGATCTGTTCTCATCTTTCCCCTGAAGTTATCTTATCAACTTTAGAATTAACTGATTTTTTTTCCTAGATGAGATTTTGGATAGAAATGTATAATACGAAACAAGTTATATTACTTGCTTCTCGGGGGGGGTAAAAATACATTTCTTAGGCCTCATTTCATATTCATTCAAGAGAAAAAAATCCCATCTAACTAATTTCTGTTTTGTGCAGTAAACACTTGTTCTAGCGAGTGTGCACAGGATGATGTTTGAATTCTAAGGTTTAGGTATACCAATCTGTGAGATAAAGGATAATAACAAGAACCTCTAAACCTACATTTTCAAAATTCACTTAAATGAGTTTGTGACAAGCATTTTTCATCTTATTCTTAGATATTGCTCTTGATAAATATTAAATAAAATAAGAAAAATTGAGCTAGACTCCTTATAGCCTCCCTTCTTACGGAAATACAATGCCATAAAAGAAAGTCAAGAGTTTTTTAGCTTCATCTGCACTCTTTCAAGCAAAAACAAAGAATTAATAGCAAATTAAAGGAATTAGCAGGGACATCAGACTAACTGCATAGAACCTCTTTTCCTTTTCTTTTTTTTTTTTTGTTTCCTTTTTGTTTTTTAAAGTATTTATTTAATCCTTTGAACTCCATGATAAAATTAGGTCAATGACAGGTGATAGAGTTTAATGATGCGGTCAAAACATCCTAAGGAAATAAAAAGTCAAAAACAATTCAACTTGTGTTCAAGATTTATAGCTACTGACTTTGTGGCATTGAAGAAAAACCCATTAAGCATTTACTGCATCTCTTTTTCTCCCTGGAGGAAAATAAAGTATTTATCTCTGTGTACCATGATTAGAGAATTGTCACCTTTCAAAAACAATGTCTTGTGTCCCCAGAGCAGGAACATAGCAAGCAAATCACACAGCAGTTTCTTCTGAACTTCTTGGGAATCATGTAATCATGCCTTTACTGAAGTATTTCCTGTAAATATGCAGAAGTGCACATTTACTGAATGCCAACAGGTGCCAGACACTGAACTGCACGCTTGCCTTACTTTCAGCATTTCAACAACCTCATGATATGTTTTATTACTGTCATTTTCCAGATAAGCACAAGTTTCAGAAAATTTAAATGATTTCTTGGATGTTACAGTTTGAAAAGCTGTAGAGCCAGGATTAGAACCTAGACCCATTCAACCATGATAAATTATGTAATGTCTAAAATTACTTATATAAATTGATGTGTGTGTGTGTGTGTGTGTGTATGTGTGTGTAGGCAACCAATGAACCAATGCAAGCCAATCAAAGTGGAGGAAGAGAGTATTGTTCTTTAGTCCTAGTGAATGGAAGTGATATTACACTTTCTGAGTTATGTCCTCAATGAAAAATGAGAAAAAAATCTTTTTCTTCTCTCATTGTCCAAACCTATGGACTGGAATGCAGTTATGCTGTTGAGTAATCTTCTACTATGCATATAAGGGCAATTCTTTAGGGACAGGAGAGGAACAAAATTAAAATATTTCAAGCTCTTAAAGCTTTTAAGCCGTCTTCAGAGGCCTGGAGTCTTATTCAAAATATTCCTGAAAATTTAGTTTGGATTTTCATTATATCAGACTATAGCATATTCTACCTAATATAGAGTTGAAGACAGATTAAACATTATTTATCTAAACTACAGTTAAAGGGCTAGAAAAATAATAGAATAAAACTGAAAAAGTGGGAAAAAATAATAAGTGTTAGTTATCTACAAATGTGTAAATTAACAAAAGGTACTCATCTATAAATGAAAACCTAAACAAATCTATAGCAATTAAAGATATTTAATCATTAGAGAAAAAAATCTACATACAAGAAAAGCAACAGGTCTATAGGTTTTAACTGTTGTGTTTTAGAAAGTTATCAAGAAATAGATAACACTTTTCTTATAACACTTCCCCAGGATTTAGAAAAAATGTTAAAGTTTCTCCACTAATTTTATGAAACTAATATGAGATTGCTAATGATGCTGCAAATATAATAGAACCAGGAAAATTATTGGGCCTTATCATTTACGAAATAGATGCCAAAATAACACAAAGATAGTAAACTGATTCCTACTGTGTGTGCATGTGTGTATATGCAAGGTAAAACAATTTCATAACTAAATATGGTTTATTCTGAGAGTAGTAAGAGGATATAAATTTAGAAAACACATTAATGTAATGCACCAAATTGACAATATGAAAAACATTGTATCAATGAATGCAGCACCATTTAATAAAATCCAAAAATCAACATATGAAAGAAAGAATGAACAAAAGTAGTAATAGAAAGTCAATTTCCTAACCTAATTATTACTAAAAAGCAAGCAAATACAGTGATGGCAAACCATTAGAAACATCTCCTACCTTAGTTTTTCCCCCACATATCTGCCTTGAAGCGTAAGTTTAGTCAAATGAATACAAGTTCTATGCTGCAGCTTCCAGGAGTCTTCCATAATACATACCTGGCCCATGATCTTGTTCTTTCTTCTTGTATTCTTCTTTCTTCTTGTTGCTGCTGATGTGCAGGATGCCATGAAACAAGGGATGCCAGGGTGGAAAAGGAATGAGTGTCTAACAACATATGGCACCATATCAGCCCCAAACTGACGGATTCCACTCCTCTTGAAATGTAAGAAAGAGAAACTTCCACTTCGTTTAAGCTGCTGTTACCATGATTGCTTCTTCTCAACACTGTACTAGAAAGTGTTAGCAAATGTAATGAGAGAAGAAAAAGAAATGAGATAGAAACTATCAATAAAGAAATTGATTTTTAAGAATTATATGACTATATACCTAGAAAATCACAGAGATTTAAATTACAAATCAACTAGCTACAATTTCACGTCCATATAGTTTTCAGAAATTAAAAGAGCTGGTAATACCAAGTGTTCATAAAGCAATGGATAAATACAACCCCTTTTATGTTGTTGGTGGAAGTATAAAATTTTTAAAAACTATTATAGGACAATGTGTAGTTAGAATTCTTTTGACTATAGGCATCAAGAACCTTATATAAAACTGACTTAATTACCATGGAAATCTACTGTCACCATTAAAATCAGGCTTATAATGAGCAGCGGCTCTACAAGTCTTCCAGAATCCAGTCCTTTCTAATTCTCATTCTGCCATTCTTAATACCTCAGCTTAGATCACAGACTGGCCTCCTTCTTGGTGTCAGCAACATGGATCTTATCCAGACAGACAATATCCAGAAGAATATAAAATCCCTATCTTCCTGCGACACAGGAGTATGGAAACCATTTCCAGACCTATCTTTGGTGAGCATTGGTTATATGCCTATTCCCAAATCAATTACCTGCAAAGAGAATAGATTAGCATATTAATGGGAACAAGACTTTTAACAGGTAAAATTTAGAGACTAATTCATTAAAAGTAAAAGGATAAAATCATGTATTGTAGAATTATCAAAAAATAATACATAATAATACCAATAAAAGCACTAGGTAACATTTACTGGGATATTACTATATGCCAGGCACTTTCCTAAGCACTTGCCCAATTGGTATTCATTTTTCCATGCAAAGCCCAGTGGGGGTTAGACATTTAAAATGAGACAGCCATTTCACACTATTTCAAATGCGTAAGACTGACAAAAATTAAAATGTCTAGTAACAACTAGTGTTGGTAAATATATGTGTATGAATATATACACACATACATATGACTATATGAACATATGAAATAACAGCCTCATATACTACTTATAAAAGTTTAATGTTTCAGATGAAAAATATTCAAACATGAAGAAGTTAATTTACTTGCCCAAAGTCACAAAACTAGTGAATGGCAGAAACAGGATTTGACCCAGATAGTCTATAAGTAGTTAAAATAAATAACTAGATTCATATGTATCAATGCAGGAAATATGAAAAATATAATCTTGAGTAGATGGTAGCCCTTCACCAGAAAAGGAAATGTATAAAAACAGCATGTTTGTCAAGGGGGAGAGGATTGTTATGAGTTCATTTGGGGGTAGGTTTTATTAAGGATATAGAATATCGGGGGCAATGCCCCACATTCAAATATGCAACTATCCAGGAGGAAACCAGATATAAAGATTCTAAAAAAGGTGTTTGTATCTGGAGAGTTGAGTATTATAATGCAGTGGCTGAAATTGAGCAAGTAGATTTAAAGTGAATGAGCAAGTAGATTTAAAGTGAAAAGAGAGAAGTAGGAAAGAAACAGCATTGACATTCAGGGAGAAATAAGACAGAAAAAGGGCCTATGAGAGAACACAAGAGGGGTTACAGAAGAGATTGGTATCCCAGATAATAACTAAGGGGTGAGATTTACAAAGATTATGGCTAATAATGTCAAATGAGGCAGAGAGTGGTGAAAACACTTGGCAATTAGTGTATCAGTGAAGACCTTTCTGAAACCACTTTCAAATGCAGTTACAGTTAGAAGCCTGCATCATTGCCTTAAAAGTTCATAGGGTACGAGTAGGGGGATATGTGAAATGCAGACTATTTTTCAGAGAGGCATGATTGGTGAATTAAAAATGAATATTAGAGCATTAGCTAGAGAGAATTAAGAGTTTTGTTGTTGCTGTTGTTTTCTTTTATTTTGTTTTGATTTTGAGACGAAGTCTTGCTCTTGTTGCTCAGGCTGGAGTGCAATGGCGCAATCTCGGTTCACTGCAACCTCCACCTTCCGGGATCAAGCAATTCTCCTGCCTCAAGAGGCTGGGATTACAGGTGCCTGACACCACGCCTGGCTAATTTTTTGTATTTTTAGTAGAGACGGAGTTTCATCATGTTGGCCAGGCTGGTCTCGAACTCCTGACCTCTGGCGATCTGCCTGCTTTGGCCTCCCAAAGTGCTGGGATTACAGGCATGAGCCACCACACCCAACCGGGAGTGAAGAGTTCTATAGAAAAACATGGTAATATTTTCAGCTTGTGTGAAACAGTCAGTAGAGGAAGAGATTTAAAATACTGGGGTGATGGGAAAGAGTAGGACTTATAGGAGCAACATCTGGGAGAAGATGGGAAGCAGTAGATCAGGCACACAGGTGGAGAACTTAGCCTTGAACGTGAGAAATAATGAGGAAGAGAACAAGGGATCTCCCAGATGAGAGGGGAGACAGATGGAACACAGAAAGGAGAGCAATGAGTTTTATCCTGCTGTGTTTCCAATCAGATTTTCCCCGAAGGGATACTTGGCCAGGAAAACAGGAAACAGACAGGTGGTCTAAGGTCTGTAGGGTAAAGTTAATATATAGTTGCTTGATTATCCAGTCGAATTGTAGGACCAAAGAAGAAAAAGGAGTAGATTAAAAGCAATTACTGCAAATTTATGAATCACATCAGTTGTCCAGACACAAGTCTGACCTAAATCTTTCCCTCCCTTAGTGAATGGATCTGGAGTACTCCCTATATGGAGGCCATTCTAAACTCAGCACCAACAAACTAGACCAGAAAAGAGTGAAAGGAAAGTCCCCCAGGATGTCAGTACCAAAAGCCAGCTAATGATCATCTACACAAACCCTCTTTCACAGAGGAGAAAAGCAAATCTCACTAGGGTACACAACAGCCCACTATCACTGAATTATGGATTGGTGATGACTATGCTTCCTTTTTATCCCTTTAGCACTTATGAACTTCTAACACATTCAATATTTTTCTTCTTTAATTCATTTATTACCTCCTCCCATGAGAATGCGATCGCCCTCAGAAGGATTTTTGTCTCTTTTACTTACTGTTGTTACCTCAGCCTTCAACGTATGTCTGGCATTTAGAATGCACTTGATCATTATTTGCTGAATGAATGAATTACATCTTCTCCACTATACTTTTTACTTCCCTATTATACGTTCCATGCAGAGCTCTTAGAAGTGAAGTTGATAGTTGTAAAAACCACTTCCATGCAAATACATTTTTCATAAACTCTGCTACCTTATTGGGTACATAAAACCCCAAGGTTGTACAGAATTCAAATCTAGGACTGTCTGGCTTCAGAGTCATATATTGGATGAATTCGACCCATTCAGTTAGTTTTCTCTGAAAAGAAAACTAAAGAAATTTTTGTGACAATAACAAAACAATGACTTTTTCTTAAAAAAGTAGGAAAGATAAAAAAGAAGGAAAATGGAATCAGTATTATAGGAAAAACTCTATAGAGTTTACACAGCAGTGAGCTTCCTGATGTATTTTTTCATATATCTACATTTATATCTTTATCCACACTGTTATGTCTATGTTATAATACTCAAGAGAAATATGGTGGAAAGAATTCACTGGGCCTGTTGCTAGGTGAGTGTTAAGAAAATTGCAACTTCGTATGACCCTTCATCTGCTGTAGGAGATTCTCTATTTTTCTCTTTTTGTGTGAAAAAAGATGAGGATGAAAGACTATGGAGTTGGTAGCTACAAAGAAGAGAGTTGGTAGTTCCTAGGTGTATGAGAGAGGCTTTTCCTACTCTCTCTGAAGTGCAATCTATTTTTTTCAGGAGTCATTTCCAGGGAAGGGAAGGAACAACACACTGAATGAGGACATGTCCACCTCAGGGGAGCCAGGTACAACCACAGAAGCAGCTTATGTAACAAAGGGTTCATTTGTGGAATTAGTTAAGGAATCAAGTTTTATATTTGTAAGAGATGCAAGTGAGCATTTAAAGATTCACATTGCCTGGGACTTTCCAGTATCATTTTGCAACCCAGATCCTTAATGGCAAATGTATAGATTAGTAGTGTGTGTGAGAAATTTTATACATGTAATAAGACGTCAAATAGGATATGTATTTCTAAAGTTGCTGTTATGATCCAAAACCAAGAACCAATGTACCTCATGTTCTATGTTCGGGGACCCCATCATCTTCCTAGCAGGGATTACGGGGAAGAACCTGTTTAGAAAATGTGTATCCAACAACTCCTTCCACTTGGTGGCATCATCCCGATCAAAGCAAGAGGAAGGCTGACTGGGGAGAGAGGCATTAAGATTTGGGGAGAGAGTTGAGTTTGGGTATGAAATGAAAGTACGGTTTCTCCCCTTTTAATGAAAAGGGGGAAACCTCTAAGAGAATCCCATAAAGATTGACAGGCCCTGCAAGAGGAACCTGGCCGAATGTGCGCTGAGCAGTAGAACACAAAGCTTCTCTTTTGTGCCATCACTAATGCTGAGTACAGTCATAAAGAGTGGGTTCTGGAAGAGCATTGAGAGTCCGAAGTGTAGAACTTTATCCTTTTCAGTATCCTTCTTCCACCAGGAGGAAGAAGAACTGTGTCTCTGAAGTTTGGGAAGTATACGTAGACATGGAGTCTGGCCTTGAGCTTTCTGTAGTAGAAAGGCCCATGTCAGCAGCCCTTAAAGGGACAGGGTGAGGTGTACTCGGGGGAAAGATGGTAGTAACCATACTCCTCCCAATTTTCCGTGATACACCACAGTGTAAAAGAGGACCCCAGTGGTTTCCACGGCTACACAGAAAATTCATGGAGGGTAGCAGAAGAAGATGAGCCATGGAGCTGCCAGGTGGCTGCCAGTCCAATCTTTTAAGGTTCAATTTAGGGAAAAGGTAATGATGCCTAATCTTCTGTAAAAGGAAAACTCCCCTGTGGGGGTACCTGTAAGTATGTGGGTAAAGGCCAGCTGACAGAATGTCAGAGAAAATGTCATGCTCCCATATGACATGAAGGGAAATACTCATTTTCTTCTCAAGCCCTAATCAGCAAGTATCTCAATTTTCTTACTTTCTTTTCATCAAAATAGGAGAAGGATATGACTTTCTTTGTTGTTATCATAAGTGAGAAAAGATACAGAATTCAGAAAAAAATAGCCAGAGAGTACCAAATGCCTAAGGAAGAGAGAGATTAAGTAGAGTTTTGGGATCAACAAAAATAAATAAGGAATTCTCAGAATACTAAGCAATTAATGGTAGAAATCTTTAAAAAATTTTTTTGGATAAAATAAAGCTCCTAAGGAACACTGTTGAATAAAGGCTTGGTACATAAGCAGAGAATCAGGATCATTTATAAATAATAACAAAGACTCAGATACAAGTAAGCAGCAACCCACAGCAGATAAGTGTGAGAAAATCATGGTGTAGGAAACACCAAATAGAGTTAGGAGAATTGGGATAATGCAAGAAGAGAAATCAGGCCAGGACCTATGGTACATTATATTTTCCAAGGATGGACACCACAGTATACTTCATCCCCCATGCTCCATTTACAATGGCATTGACCATCCTTCCATCAAGTAGTGGGATCCCTGTCCCTAGCACCCACCTCCCCTAGGACCCAGGCAGACCTTTATGACTGCTTTGCTCAATAGAATACAGTAGAAGTAATGCTTTGTAACTTCCAAGGCTAGGTTATAAAAAATTCTGTTCAACCTTGCTCTCTTAGGACTTTTTCTCAGTAAGCCCTGATACCTTGATGTGAGAAGGCCAAGAAGAAGCCTATAGAGATGCCCACAAGAGGAGACTAAAGCTGAGAGAAACTGAGGCCCCTGGCCCTAGAGCTTTCACTGAGCTCCAGCTGACAACCATCATCAAATCACCAGCCATGTGACTGTGCCATGATGGGAGGGAATCACCCAGTGTCCAAATGATCTGATGCCACATGTAAAAGAGAAGAGCCTTCCCCTTTGAGCCCTGCCCAGATTGCTACTCTGCACCAAGTAAGTGGTGGCTGTTATCTTAAGCCACTAGCATTTAAGATTTTATTTTTTTGGGTGCAGGGTGGGAGTTGGTGTGACATAGCAATTGATGACCAGGATAGAACCAAAAAGGGATTATTTACTTAGCCAGAGTTACTTAAGAGAGTTCTGCTGTTCCTTTGGCCAAGAAATTGAACATTTTTATTAGTACTACATTTTGTATTATGTGAGTTCTCCATGATATGTTACCTCCTTAATAAACTATGTGTAGAGCATTTTCACTTCATTGTGTAGTTCAGGTCGTCTCTTTAATCCTCTCAGTAGTCTTTATTAAATTTCGAATTAAAGAACAGTTTAGTTTTAGTTCACTGTATGGAATGGTCAACTTCAAATAACAACAGTGATCGAGAGCCTGTTGTTCAAAAGTGGTATGGCATGTGAGCAACACTTTTTACAAAATTCTCATTTGCCTGGGCTATGTTTTGACTAAGTGAGTGGCATACCAAAGTTGTTAAGAACTGATATGTGGGCGAAATGACACTGCCTGAAATTTCTTTCCCAAAGCAGAGTGGTACATTTACAAGAAGTATAATCCAGAATCTTTCATGTAACAATAATTAGTATGAGGATGCATTAAGTTTGTGTATGTAAAATATGCATAGCACATACATTATTCACTTACCAGTAGGTCAGCAAAGAATTATTAAATGCAACTGTGCTCCAATATAGAACTAGACCTAGGAGATATAGCAGGGAACAAAACACAGTGGCCCCTGATAGGACACTCAGATGATAAACGGATATATACAACTCAGAATGTTGAGAAGTATACAAAAAAATGAAACTGGTAAACAGGATAGCATATCAAGGTAGGGTGAGGGTGGGTAGGCAAGGCTGCTATTTCATATCAGATGTTCAGGGAAAACCATCTCTGGTATGATAACCTTTGAACCTACATCTTCTGGAAGGAAGAGCAAATGAAGTAGCTACCTAGGAGAAGGGCATTTCAGGTAAGCAGAACTGCAAGTGTAAATACCAAGAGTAATGTTAACGTGTTGGAGGGACAGCAAAGACATCAGTGTTGTTGATGAAGGATAAGACACACAAAGAAATCAGTGTGTCTTTGAAGGATAAAAAGTACCGAAGGCAGGAAGCAGATCACGTACACATGTAGACTATTGTAGAGGCCGTTGAAGAGATTTTAGCTTTTATTGAGTAATTATAAATATTCATATATGTCATGGACTGAATGTTTGTGTATCTTCAAATTCATATGTTAAACCCCTGTATTAGTCTGTTCTCATGCTGCTTTGAAGAAGTATCAGGGACTGGGTAATTTATAAAGAAAAGAGGGTTAATTGACTCACAGTTCTGTATGGCTGGAGAGGCTTCAGGAAACTTACAATCATAGCAGAAGGCACCTCTTCACATGGCAGCAGGGGAGAGAATGAGTGTCAGCAGGGGAAATGCCAGAGGCTTATAAAACCATCAGATCTTGTGAGAACTCTCTTACTATCATGAAAACAGAATGGAGGAACTGTCCTCATGATCCAATTACCTCCCACTGGGTGCCTCCCACAACACATGGGGATTATTACAATTCAAGATTAGATTTGGGTGGGGACACAGAGCCAAACCATATCAACCCCTAACTCCCGACGTGATGATATTTGGAGATGAGGCCTTTGGAAGGTAATTTGAATTAGATTAGATTATGAAAGTGGAACCCTTATGACAGGATTAGGGAAAGAGACCAGAGCTCACTCTCCTTGGCAGTCACTGAGGAAAGGCCACAAGAGGAAAAACGAGAAAGCAGCCATCTATAAGTCAGAAAGAGAGCCCTCTCCAGAACCTGATCCTGCTGGCACCCTGATCATGCACATCCAGCCCCCAGAACTGTGAGAAAACAAATATCTGTTGTTTAACTCACCAGTCTGTGGTATTTTGTTATGGCAGCCCAAGCTGACTAAGACAATCTAGCCATAACTACTACGGTATACAGTATAACTGCAATGTCAATCAGCTTTAATTCAACACTGAAATTTTTTTTCTAAATACTCTTTTTGTCTTCTCTGATTTCCTCAGTCCACTACTAGCTTTCTGGTAACAAAAGTACTAATTGCACAGTTCATTGACTGAAATTGCTTAATAGTCAGTTTCAATTACAATGACTTTTCCAGTTATATTTCTACTATTCTGTTTTTGTGCAAATTTGAGCAAAAATATGAGCTTTGGGAGGTGTGTCTCTCTCTGCTAATTGGAATGTCTTCTGTTAAAGTCTTTTGCAAGCTGTGTCACAAAAATTTAAATGAAAAATCTTCTCTAATATGCATATTACAATTTTATTGGTAGGAATTTTACAGATTGCCCTGGCAGATTCTCACTCATTATGTAGAACGCTTTCTGTCTATAGTTACTTATTTGTTTGTTTAGTTATTAATTATTTTTTCTCTTATCATTTGATGTTTCCCTTGCTTAAAACAGGTGGGGTTTTGTGGCTACTGCTGAGTTCATGTTCTCTCTGTTTCTGGCTTGCAGGAGTGCTCACACACCTTGGAATGGTGGAGCTTTCAAGGATGCAGAGAATCACTTCCCTTTTTAGAGCCCTCATACCTTCACCTTCTCAACCTTTTCTCTGTTACTTGGGCCACTTCTTCCTGGCTTGTCACTGCTTCTGCTTCTTCTCCTTTTTCATTTGGCAGGCCCAGCGTTTGTATTCAGGCTCCTTGGCTCAGATTTTTTTCTGATATTTTTATCAACTTTCTGGAAAATGGGAGGGGCTCTTTATTGTGTCTCACTCAAGACTGTTTTTTGTTTTGTTTTGTTTTGGAGGGAAAATAATTGGCTTCTTATCTCCAGAAAAGAAACACGCAAGAAACTAACAACCCAACCACCCTTAGCTCTGGGACTTCCTACTCCCAGCCTTTAAGACTCATCTACTGTGAAGTGAAGGTATAAATGGTGCTTCAGAACCTCTTGCCCTTTAACTTTCAATGATCAGAATAGGCTCTGAAGTGGAAATAACAGTGAGATTATGAGTTATCATCTGGGCCCACAATAGACTTCTAAGAATGGGATAATTTATCATTTGGGGAAAAGGTAAACTTATAATAAAAAATGCCTCATCTCATGCAGTACTTTCCACGCAGACATAAATGTAATATTTATGTCTCAGAGAAATCAGGGCCACAAAAATAAAGTGAGTAGAGAGTATTGTTGAGACTCAAAAATGCAGTTTTTCCAACTTTAATTCTCCATCTTTCATGGCAGCTTTGGTCTTTATGCTTATGAGTCATAGTAAGAAAATTTTGAAACAAAGCTGACAAGATTTATGAAAATTTCATTCCATTAGTTTTTGGAAGAAAGTAGGCATTCGTTTCTCTCATATGTCAGTGTCTCAACTGTGTTGAGCACTACAGCAAAAACGTTGATCTGGTTTACAGAGAGGTAAATAATCCTGTTACATTTGTCCTAGGTAACTTTAAAAAGCAACTATAATTCTGAATTTTAGAGTCAAACAGAACTGGCTGTAGCTCTTATTCCTGGTGTAGACTTGAACCATTTACTTAAACTAATTAAGCCTCAATTTCTCTCTCTGAAAAATCAAAATGATATTCATGCCTGCCTCTTAGGGATACTATAAGAATTGCATGAGGAAATGAAACATAAAGCACTTAGCAGTGTACCTGACACAGCGCAAATTCTCAGTAAATGTTAGATAATATTAGACTTGTTATTGTTATGATTGTTGTGCATTTCCATTGCTTGTAACTAATGAATAGTGACATAACAAAGTGCTTTCCTCCATAAACAAGTGTAAACTTCAGTCGAGTTACTTAGGCTTTCTTATACCTCATATAATCTCCTTACATGTGAGGTTTCTTATACATATAGTGAAGTATAACAGCTGCGTAACCTTCATAAGCTACTTTGGATCATCATTTTACTGTCCAAATGATAATATTTAATGACAGAGGTTCTGTGACTTGCTGGGTCTCCAATCACAAGTCTGAATTAGGACAGGCCCTTCAGGGGGTGGAAGTCTGCTCCTCTTCTCCCTTCATGACACAGCCTCACTCTCCATGATCACCATTCATAATCAGAAATGACATCAGAAATATGTACTAAAATAGTACATAATGACAATAACTTATCATGATATACAGCCTTTCATGTAGAGGGCACAAAGATTTGACTTTAGTGATTTTCAAACACAAGTAACTGCTGTTCTATGCCTGTCCCTTCTATCTAATAATTAAGACCTTAATACATTTTAAATAATAATAAGACCCAGTTATTAGTGTTCTACTAATGATAAATAATTTACATATATATTGTTTTCCTTATTCTTCAGGTAATGAAACTGAAAGTTAACTAAGTTAAAAAAAATGTCTTGACCAAAATCAAAAATCAGTAAATAGTAGGTGGGACCGCCAGGTTTAACTCTTGCTCATCAGGCACAAAGGAAGCAGCCCTAGCCAACATACCTGCTCATACAACATATGGACTATTGCTAAGGAAGATTTTTCAGACAGCCATTGTAGGCAAAATTATTCCCCCAAATGAACAATACCAAACTGTAGTATATATGGTGCTGCTTTCCTTTCCCCATGCATAATTCAGGTGGTGGTCGACCCATAGGGGCTACACCTGTTACTCCACAGACTGCCTACAAATTCTACAGAATAAATAATAGAAGAGCTTGATGGATTCTTGTGAATTTACACACCATGCCAAAATTTCCAGCAACCTAGCTCCACCAGTTTCTGTGTTAGTTGACGTGGGGCAGAATATTTACATTGCTGATTTCTACAGGATGTAATAAGAGCTGTGTAGCAATAAAGGGTCATTTAGGTCATCTATTGGACTGAACTTACATTTTAACAATTGTGGGTGAGATGCATTCTTAACAATCTTGAAATAAACTCAGCTGTATTTGATATATGGGGAAGCCACAGTAGGTGGTATATATTGGAGTGGCTACAGGCATTTGCTGGGGGTGTTTTATTTTGCACGTGCATGGAAAGCTCAGAGCAAATGCAGTTTGTATTCCAAAAATGACATTATATAGCTTTACAAGAATATGGTCCTTAACATGAACTAAGGCATCTTTTGTGCTTCATATTTAGTATTTAGATAAATAAGTTAATTTTGAAAAATGTAGTATGGTTTTTGTTTGTTTTTTTGTTTTGAGACGGAGTCTCACTCTGTCGCCCAGGCTGGAGTGCAGTGGCGCTATCTCGGCTCACTGCAAGCTCCATCTCCTGGGTTCATACCATTCTCCTGCCTCAGCCTCCTGAGTAGCTGGGACTACAGGTGCCCACCACCATGCCCGGCTAATTTTTTTGTATTTTGTTTAGTAGGGATGGGGTTTCACTGTGTTAGCCAGGATGGTTTCGATCTCCTGACCTCGTGATCCACCTGCCTCAGCCTCCCAAAGTGCTGGGATTACAGGCATGAGGTAATGTAGTTATTTTTAATAACTGTTTTGCTAAAATAGTTGTGATCTATACAGGAAGCACTGTCTTTTCTAAATTGTGTCAGGTATGTACTGTCTTCAGTTTACACTTTCAGAGCACAGTTTCAATGGCTCACATATGCACACACAATCCTCAGGGTTGATGGTTAAGAAATAAATACTAATGACTTGGCTCTTCTGCAGCAGAGCTTCTCTGCTAAACCTCTTGGGTCTAGTCCTTGGGTGTACCATACTTAGAATTCCTTCCCAGAGCAGTTCAATCTTCTTGATATGGTGCCAGTTGGCATAGCTTCCTGGTGAATATGTCCCACAAGTGACATGACTAAAATGAGACAGCCCAAATCCACAGTTATCAGCTACTAATAATCCTGTCAAGGCAAGTCTTTGCTTAGAAACTTGGAAATTGTACTTGATACATCAAGATGACTTTATAGAACTGTAGCAATTTTTTTTCTACTACAGTGAATAATTCTCATGCAATATTCATATTTTGATTTTTGTTGTTGCATTTTAAGTGGTTGTGTTTATTTACATCAGAAAAAATATCACATGATCTTTCTTATATGGATATACCATTGAAAGAGCTCCATCCCAAGTCATTCCTTTCCATGATTTTCTATCTCACCTCCTTTTTTGGGTTTAATTTATATTTCTCACTCATTACAATTTGTAATTACTTTATTTCTTCATTTTACATCTGTTCCATAGGATACAGAATATGTCTGTTTTATTCACCATTGGATCAAACATTATAAATGACAATGTAAAGGCCCTTAATAACTATTTGTTTAATGAATGAGTGAATAAAGAAATGAATGGATGAAATAAAAGATAGGTATTAACAACTTAAGCAATCACCACTTTAGCTCTGCAAATACTTTTTGAGAAGTCCAACAAGAGGCAGTCTCTCTAATATTTTAAAATATTTTTCCACAGACAACTGGGCTGAGAATGGTAGGCTTTGGATGAAATCATTGGGGAAAGGGAGGAAAGGAGTGTGACTAAGTATGGGAATTATCTTTGTTTCAATTTGCCCTAATAAGTTCAAATTTCATACTGAGGTGGGGACAGAATAGTCTTTATTTTAAGAAAAAAAAAAAGCAGTTTTGTAATCTTTAGGCCAGTTTCTAGAACGACTATGGGCATTAGCAAAATCCTTGATCTGGAAGCCAGCCTTGAGGAGGTTCCTTTTGTGAGTCTTGTCCTCTCATAGCAAAGATTTGGATATTCCAAGCAGGCCTCAGTAGTCTGTGCAAGTGCTAATGTATGAATCAAAAGGGTGCCTGCTGACTGTCACCTACATGCTATTGACTTTAGAGTCAATATTCATAGAAAGCAAATGGAAATAAAGGTACTGGACAAAGTAAACTCTAATAACCTTCCTCAGGCCATTATCCAAAGTGAAAGGACTTAGAAACAAAGTCAAATACCACATGTTCTCATTTATAATTGGGAGCTAAACAATGGGAACATATGAGCATAGAGAGTGGAAGAGTAGACCCTGGAGACTCCAAAAGATAGTAGGGCGGCAGGGGACAGGGAGGTGTGTGTGGGGGGTGGGTGGTGATAGCTGCAAAATCACCTATTGGGTACAATGTTCACTATCTGGGTACACTAAAAGCCCAGAGTTTCCACTATGCTATATATGCATGTCAGATATCTGCACTTGTACCTCCTAAACATACAAAAATTTTTTAAAATTAAAAAAGTAATAATCATCTTCAGGGCAAATGTGAACTTGGTCACTGTGCTAAGTAAATGCTCATGTTAAATTTGAAACACTTTGTGAAAAGGTGTTTAGCTGTTTATTTTTTATATTTTTGCAAACAATATTTAAACAGAGACAGGTATCCAATGATTTAAATTTACCAATATATTACAGTATTATTTATGCTAAAAAATTAGACACAAATTGATTTTCCAAGAATCTGAAAATGGTTCAATGACTTATGATACATCCTTATGATAGAATGTTATGAATGTTATGAAGAGGGAAGCCCATGTTCCCCAGTCCCCATGTTCTCACTGTCACTTTCCATCACTTTCACACTTGGCCTTGTAAGAGAGCCTTTGCCCTCCTCACTACCTGTACTCCTCAAGGTCAGAGGAGTTACTAAACTCATTGGTACGAGTCTGATCTTCATCAGCTCACATTTTTCAGTAGTGTGGAATTCCTTTACCTCACAAGTGGTGACACAGTTTCAGCCTTTCAGCCTCTATTTCATTCTCTCTCCTTTCCTTGGGTCATGCTCTTTGGAGAACTGAAAGAAAGTTAGTGAGATTCTTCCCTGGGTCTTTTCTGCATGTAAATGCACACCTAGCTCAGGATCCATGGATTACCTGCTTGCTGTTCAGAATATAGATCTTAAAAACCTGATAAGGCAATTTCTCTATATATAATTTTTCATTTTTCAAATTGTAGTTATTTGTGGATCTCTATTTTCCAAGTAACTTAAGAAACTTTACTGAGTTCCTCAAATGTCTAAATAGATATTAACTAACCTTGCATTAAATTTATAGAAGAACATAGGTAGCATCATCTGTATAATGTAAACAACGTCTGTCTACAACCATGAGATGTCTTTCTATTTGTCTTTTATTAATGTAGTTTCCTCCAAGAAGATCTTAAGCTTTCTAAATAAAGTTAATACTTATATACCTTATAATTTTTGCTGTGTTTGTACATGATTTTTATTAATTATTTTTCTAGTTGCTTATTGCCAGTGCTGTATAATTTTGTAGGTTAATTTTATATCTGGCAGTATTTCTAAATGTTTTTATTAGTTCTTAAATGTTCTTGATTTTGTTTCTTTTTCTAGACAGTCATATACCATGTGTAAATAATCCATGACTTGCCTGCAACCTTAAAGAAAAGCAATATATAATTCACATTTTCTCCTACACTATCCTGGAAGTGAGGAACCTATGATGTTTTGTAAAAGCAACTCTATCTTCCAACAGTTTATCAGAAGTCCTACATTTTGGGGAAAATAAGGGTGATAATATATGTCACAGTCCACCTAACTCCTTGGTTTTGCTATTAATTGATTAAAAGTCAACAATCAAAAAGGAAAAAGAAGAGGAAAAAATTAACTTGGTAGTAGAGAGAGCAGGCACATATTTCACGCAGAAGGAATTTTTCAAATATAAACTTAATCTGCCCCCTCTTTCCTATCATATCCTGTTCCAAAGCATACATAAAGTGAGTTGCCATAGAAGAATTTGAGGCATCTCTCCCTCTCCTGGAAAGAAAGGGGGAAAGAGGTTGAAAGCATTACTTTCTTTAATGAATGAATGGATTTTGCCAAAGCACCCAGCCTGAAAGCAGACAGACAGTGCCTCACCACAAGAGGTCTTTCAGGACATGCGCGTGGAATTTCTTTGTAGTGTGGCTAAGCAGCTGGGCCATTCTGGGAGGACCAGGGGGAAAAGGGTAACACTGTGAGGTGAGCACAGTCCCATTCTGATCCCAAAGAGAAGTGCTATAATTCCTCTGTAACTATCCCTCCCCACCCTTCTACACCCCAGCCAGGGGGTTCTTATTTTCTACACACAGGAACACACACACATGCACACACACACATTCTTCAGAATCCAGATAAGGCACTGTGAGCTTGATGTTTGCCTTTCACAACCAATTACAAGTCAAGAAATTAAAACAAGATACCTCTTTGAACATTGGTCTGTCACTATTGGTATGGTTTTGCTTATTGTTTCTATAGAGACACTAGATTTCAACCATCTGCCTTGACCTTGAACTTTTTAAAATTACATCTATTTTCACAATTTTTGGTATTCCAGCCTTAGCTTTGTTCTACTGTGGCTATGGGTTCTGGTCCCTGCTGGCTGTCTTCTTGGCTGATGTTGTACTTGATTTGGCTCCATGAATTTCTTCTAGCTTCTTACTCATCCAGTGGTTGAGGTCAAGGTTGAAGGACTCTCTACATCCACATTTCTGCCATATTCTCTGACTATTCAATCTGCTTTCTAACTTCCACGAATCAACTGACCTCGACATCAAGTGTAAGCATGGAAGTAGGGGGGTAGTTTTCAAAATAGATTCATACTAAGTTAAAAAATTAACTATTCTCTCTAGTATGTGTATTCTAAAATGAAGATGAGACTGCTTTGGAGAGAGGAACTTTAATTAACGCCCCCTCTCCCTCCAGAAAGATTCTTATCGAATGCATCTTTTTAGGTGCAAAGAGAGAGACTCAACCATTAACTGAATATGAGCCTCAAGAATGCTACAGGTCAGTTTTGAAAGATTTTTCAAATGAAAAGAAATATAATAATCTCTGTAAGTAATTTTCATTTTCTAGTTCAAATCTAATGATTTTTTTTACTTTAGAGTTGTACCAGTAGAAAATTAAGTAAGAAGAGTAGCATTGGAAATGGAGAAAAAAATTAGTATACTTTACTTTACCTAGAAAGAGAGTATTTCTAAGGATAACAAATCAAACCATTTCAGACTGATCACAAAGAAGAACCCCCAATATACTTCATGCTTAATTCTTTAGGATCTAAGTTTCAATTATGTAAGAATCATATAGAAAGGTTATCTGATTAACAAGACAGAGAAAAAAAAATTCCCATTCACTATCTTATTTCTTATCCACTGTCACAAATATTATGTGATAGCTGATTCTTGCTAGTATAATTCTACTTAATCATTTTTATGAGAATTAGGTTGCCAAACTTCATCAAACAACTACTAAATATTGGAAAAATACAGGCTTCACAGTCACATTTAATTTAGTATTCTACAAAAAGATTATGTAAAAACTGTATTTATACATGCAAAGCAAATGGAAGAAATGGGGACATATATTTTCCTAGTAGTCTGTGGTGGCATCGACTTTAACCTTGGGATACCTGGAATAAAATGCCTTGTGATGGGAAGAATTGAGAAATTAACTCCAATTACTTTATTTAGAATATACAATACCTATTTCACTTAAAATTAAAGCACATATATATTTTTGGTGTTGCACTTAAAAAACACAAAAGAAAAAGCTGAACATATTAGGAATTAAGAAACCTATTTATTTTTTAGAGGAGTTGTTGGAAATCACCTACAAATTTGGATCATGATCTAGGTTGAGTAACATTTCTACATCTAGATTACTGTTATCTGTGATTCTAATTTATGATAACCTGACAGGTTAACTGTGGCTAAGAGATCTCTTTTGCTCAGTGGAATCTTGCTAACTGACTGCCTTTTGGAGGCAGAAAGCTGAATTTGTTAATATGAATAACACACTGGGAGGCTATGAACATTCAAGACAGGGTAATGGGCCTCAAACTAATTTTTATCTTCTTGTCATCCTGGATAGATTCCCTAAGAGACAATAATGAAAAGTGCAGAGAAAAAATTCCTACCAGATGAGAATAGTAAATTGTGTTTTGTCAGCCAGCTTTGGACTTTGTCTCTCCTCTTCTAAGGAATCATACAAAGAATGTGTGAGCTGAGGAGTATGAGGCGACATTTTTCTGAAACTGATAATGAACACAGAGCCAAAACTGCAACCCAAGGTCACAGATAATGGAAAATACACCATAGGCATTTTCATTGCCTTTATGTTTTTAATGATGTCCTCATTGTCTCTTATTGGGTTTTTGTTTTGTTTTCTTTTTACAGTTGCTTATGTTTCCTGCTCTTTGCCATTTGCTCTAAGGCTGCCACTAGCACTTCCATAAAATATCTTAATGGCCCCCCACAGGGCTTTGGTAGTGAAGGGTCTGCTAATGTTTCCATGATGACCCTGGTCTTGAAGATCTTTATATCACAGTCATCTTAATTTGCATTAGACCATGGGGAACATATCACGTAGGTCAGTCTTGGAAGCACTGTTTTTGGTATGTGTGAAAAAATTTATAGCTTAAATTCCTCAGCAGTTATGTAGCGCTAGAGCACTGAATCTAGTTACAGTAGCATTTGCTGGAGTTTTAGCTGAGTAACTTTCCATAAAAGTTAATTGGAATTACCTGAATGGAGCCTCAGGCAATGCTTTGAAAATAGAGACTAACCTTGTAATTGCCTTGTTCTCCTTTCACCTTCTTCTCTTGCCTTAAATGGTAGTGCTGTAGTTGATTAGCTAGAATGTCATCTTATAGATGAAGGCAGAATACATAATAATTAAAAATAAACTGTACCTTGGTCTAATAAAGGACTCCAATATAAATACAAGACAAAGCAGGTGTTTTGAAATGTCAGGGTGACCTAGAGTGGTGATAATAGAAAGATGCAAATGCCCATGGCACGAGCCCCTAGGAACAGATACCATCCCAGCATGGTGGTCTCGCACTTGACTTGGACTCAAAGGAAATTAGACACTACTTGGAAAAATATTCGCAGTCCATTCTCTTCTTATAAAATATAATAGCTGTTTCAAAAGTTTTATTTAAATCCCAATTTAAAGACTCAAGAAAAGAATAGAGAATACAAGGAAAAGGACCAGTAATACCCAAATTTATACATTGTTTGAATTTGGAAACATATTTTAGTATTTAATTATTTTTGAATCATCACAACAATATTGTGATTTACTAATAAGATTCTTATTTTCAAGCTAAATAAAGAAATGTTCTTCTGGCAGCATGAACGTTGCATACAAAACTGGATTCAAATCCTGCCCTATCATTTTCTAGGTGAGGGTTTGGGGGAAGTTACTAAATTTCTATGAACTTGCAAATAAACAATGTAGTGTCACCTTTACAGGACAGTTACAGGGGGTAAATGAGATTTATGCCTAGCCTCACACAATCCTAGCACATAGAAGGCAGGTAGAATGTTCTATCCTCTTGTTTTTTTTTTTCCTTTGAGAATATGAGGGCTCACTTACCATCTCATAGATGGTTAATAGCAGAGATTAAATTTAAAAATGAGTGTTCTGACTTTTGGCCTGAATTTGTTACCTTTCATACCTTGTTGCTTATAATTAAAGATAATTTGTCAAATATTCACACATAATTTTGCTTTAATTTACTCATTTTCTAATCAAACAAGAAAGTATGGTAGCTGAAGAATAATAATCCAGTACTAAGCATTATGGGAATAACAGATTAGGGAAATTTCTTTCCTTCCAAATGAATTTAAGAAAATTTAAGGAAATCAGAAAAATTACTACTATCTTGCCAAAAGTCATGGAAAATAACATGTAGCATCTGCCACAAAGTCCCACAGAAAACAAAAATATAGGATGTGAAATGTGAAGTAAAGAGGGTCAAACTATGTAGATAATAACAAATTTGACCTTTCCTTCTTAATATCTAAGTCACTCTCTAGTGAGTTAGTTATTTGATCGTATTACCCATTTTATTCACAGAAATGCACCTCAGGATGTGTTCTAAAGAAAGTACTTCAGAAAATCCTCAATTTGTAGTATAGCCCGATGTCTTGGTTTGCCCAGAACAGTCTCTGTTTAGGTCTGTTATTCTGGTGTAATTTTTAATAGTTCCACCTTTTCACTCTCAAAGGTATCCATATTTGTATGATAAATTACATGGTCATTCTATTAATTAAGGATACATGCTCCTGTCATGAGAATACGTAGGGTTCTGTCATAATTCTTAACCCAGTACCAGGCAGCATAGTTGCTTTGCCTATTGAGGTTCATTACTCCTTGTCACAATCCAACTTCTAGAGATTGTGAAATAGGAAGTGAAGCTGAGATTGAATATCAGGTCTGGTACAAAAGAATGCATGGTTTATAGAAGCAGGAGGAAGAGCGTCACTGTAGGATACATCCACTACATCAAAATTAAAGCATTAAAAAGCATTAATATCTTAAAAGAGTTTCTAGTAAGGAAAGCTAAATAGTGAAGAGCAGAGTATCTGAACAGAGCATTCAGATGATGGAAGTCAACCACAAGTAGGACCCAGTTACATGTACTCAGAGGCTCAGGTTTGAAGTACATAAGCAATCGTTGATAAAATTGTCAACATTGTAAATAGCCACATCGCTTAGTCCTATGAACCATTTTGATTAAGGTTCTGGGAAACCTTCCTGTTAGATTGTGCCTGGGAAAATGTATCATGCATTTGTTTCAACGTAATTAATTGTTTGTCTTAGTTTCTTGGAGTAAATAGATGAACTCCTGTATACTAGTTGCATTACTAGGTTGAACCATATAAAATTGTTGCTTTCCAACCATTTGGACTTAAAAAAGTGGAATTCCACCTGGTTTAACTTAATATAACATTTAAAAGATAGGATAAGGAAGAGAGGGAGCTTAATTCAGCAGATTAAATGATCTTGAAGCATTACTGAGTGTGAGAGGAGTAGAAGACAGGGAGAAGTCACTCAACAAATGTTTACTGAGCGCCTATTTCTACATGCCAAGGAGGTGTGCTGAGTGCTTAGGATCAAATTGGAACTAAAAGTATACACAGCCTCTTCTGTCTATCATGGCATAGTCTATTGGGAACATAAATTAAGAATTCACCCTCTAGATATTTCTCTTGTTTTTAAAGACGAATTCTAATGAAGCAGCTGCTCTTCCTCCTTTTCTCTTATATTTAATACTTTCTTCCTCTTTTCCTTTCCAGCTTTTATTTAATTCCAAAATATTTTTGTACTAATTTCCACTCACATTTCTCGCTCCATCTGAAAGCCTAAGCTCATATTGCTCTAATAAACTTATTTTTCTATGGCTTGTATTAGTTACCTGCTTTGAGATCTGTGCCTTCTTCTCCCCAAAGCACCTAAGTTCTTTGAGGAAAGAATATGGGAACTCTTAAATGTGATTAACGTGTCCTTGTACTCCTTGTATTCCTGGCCTTAAATGTTGCTCAATAAATTCTCATTGACGTAAATGGTAACCAGTGCATATTTGTGATGGCATCTGGACTATTGTCTGAGCCTCAGCGAATCCAATAATATAGATAAATATCGATATAACAATTGCTATTCACCACTTAGAAATGAAATATAGCCACTACACATTATATTTGAAGTCAGTTGAAATAATTTGCTTTTCTCATGTGTGTGGCCTTAGTTTCTTTACATCAATAAAATTATTTTTTATTGCTTAAAATGAAAATAAAACAATTATCAATTTGACTCTTGGTGTTTGCCACTTTTTTATGCAATCATATGAGAAACACAAAATTTTACTAAATGGTATTAAACATAAGGAAACCTTTCATAAAAAGCTATAGCAACTTTAAGAAATGGTTTTTCTCTTGCTTCTTTTCCTGAGAAGAGACCTTGAATCCAGAACCTGAAGGTCACTCTTGGTTGTCCTAAGATGTCAGTGGAAATGAGGACAGCCAAGAAGCTGGACAGTCACCAAGAGATTTGCTAATGTACAATTTGTCTCGCTTCCTGCATTTTGCAATATTTTCATAACATTGTATCCACTTGAAGAACATAATAGATAATAACTAGCAATTTACCGCTTAAAACAAATGAAAACTGACCTATATGTCTATATGGAGGAGGAGAGGGGAATTACACACACACAAACACACACACACATACACATTTCTTTGTATTTAGTTTAGAGTTTGCCATAATACTGATAGATTCATTTATGCCTTTTTCTACCATAAATATATGGTACATATAATACATTATATATATATATATAATATGCGCATATTATATATGTTCAATATACTTATTTAGACAGCTTATTATTTAAACCAGTAATATTAATGAGCACATATATTGTCCTCTACAGTATTTCTAACAATCCTTTCAGAACATGCATTAAGTAATAATCTTTGGATATGTTAAATGTGCTTTATACAGAAATTCTCCAAAATAATTAGCATGGGGCTACTCCTAAGCCTAGGGAAACCAAAACCTAGACTTTAGAATTGAGGCGCAGAACACATTTAACAAAGTAGATTGCTTGCCCTTAGCAGAGTACCATCTGTGGTTCCTATGATAGATGGGTGGGTTGCACTAGAGGCTGAAGGCCAGCATGTGCTGTCAGGGAAAGGCCATGATAACTCAGGGTTTTACTCTGCTTCTTGCTGGTATTTAGGTGAAAGGTATCAAAGTGATTGACAAAGTAATCATTTTGTTGCCTAAGAATAAGGAACTTAGCTCTAGTAATAAATTCTACTTTGGCATCTGGAGACCACTTTCTAAACAATTCTCTGTTTAAAGCACCAGATAGTGTGATTTTTAAAGGTGCTTCTCTGCTTCTCTGCTGTAAGATCAAGGTCAGAGGTAAATATGCGTGTCTGCTCTGCTCTTTGTCTCCCAGCATCAGGCCAGTACATGACCCATCGTACATTATCAATAATTGTTTGTGAGCTTAATTTAACTCAATGTGGAAAACGAGTCCGTCTTAATTTTCTTTATAACCTTAAATTAGAGCTTTCCATCTATTGAAGGAGGAAAGATCATAAATGAAGTGAAAGAAGAGCAAAGTGGGAGGAAATAAGATAATCAGATTTGCAATTATTTCAGTCTGAGCTAATATTTGCTAAGTGTTATTATTAATGTTCCAGGCAATTTTCTGGGAAGGTAGGTACTCATCTAACCCATCTGACAGATGAAGAAATTGAGGCGCAGAAAGTTTAAGTGATTTGCCTAAGGTCACAACACAAGTGCCACGGCCAGGATTTGATCTAGGTAATATACAGAGCCTGCACCATTAACCGAAAAGTTAGTTTCCTCCAGACTATTATGATATCAAGTTAGGTTATAAAAGCATCTAAGGGAAAGGAAAAAGTGTTTGAAGAAGGTTGACAAATTTTGCAACTTTATACAACACTAAAAAAAAGTAAAGTCTAAGACTTCACAACAGTAATTCTGCCTTCAATACTGGGATTAATAGTAATTCTGCTTTACATGCTGGGAGTTAATCAAGTATAAAAAATTCAGCATGATAGGTGAGCTCTATATGGGTTACCACTTGACATAAGCACATAAGTGTATGCATTCAACAAACACACATTGAGCAGCTACCATGTTCAAGGCAATGTGCTAATGATGTGGGCAGGAAGTACAAATTTTCAGACATGAAGGGCACCAAGAAGTGTATGAATAGCTGCAGTGCAAAAGAGCAGCATAAGTAGCATGATTTGGAGAGGGAGAGAATTGTTCCCCCTGTGGGGAGCTGGACATTTGGAGATTGTGGGACTGCTTGCAGCAAACTGCTTGTAACAAGCAAGGAACATTCAAGAGAAATACCCAGTAGTATAGCTCAATTGGTGCATACAGTGCATGAAGCAGATGAAGGATTTACAAGATGCCAGCCCTGTTGATGAAGACCTGGAATGCCAAAGCAAGGTAAGGAGAGGGTATGCATGTAGGTGGATGTGACCATCTTATCTTCTTATGCATTGTTTTTCTATCTTCCAGCCTCCTATTAACCATTTTTTGGTCCAAATATAGTTGACTGTTACCTGTTGGTGTAAACACAAATACATCACAATTGTGATGGAAAGAACAAGGACTTTGACATGAGATAGACCTGGGTAGGAATCCAGGTTCCATCTCTCTCTAGTGCTGAGATCTCAAAAAAATTATTTGATATCTCTGGATCTTGATTTCTTTATCTGTAAATTTAGCGTAATATTATATTAACCTGAGGAATTATTGTGAAGACTAAATAAACTCAAACCACGGTGTCTTGCTTCATAAGTATTACTGAATGTTCATTATTTACCTAACAGTATGACTATCATCCTGTAATGAATGGAAAGCTACTAAACATGTTTTAGGCAAGTGAGTAGGACAGTTGATAACTATATCTTGGTTTTGATTTCTATGTAGAGCAGAAAAGAGGCTTGATTTTTGACTTAAAGAATTCATCAATAGGTAGTGATATATAATATTTAGTAATCTACTTCTGTTGTTGTTGCTTAGATTTGTGGAACACAAGTCACTCTGCAATTACATTGCAAGTACCAAGAATTTAAGAGATTTGGTCTGATTCCTTCCCCTTGGGCATAGGCATAGTCAGGGACTGCCAGTCTTCTGTGTATAAGAGTCACTGGGTTGTCTAGTTTTCTGTTACTCAACTACTGTCTTACACTTCTCTCCTGCTTCTTATTAATAAATAATAAATATGCTAATAGAAACTATGAAAACTAGTAGGGGCAAAATACCCTTGGGCTACCTTGTGGGGATTCTGCTGTGCCTATTATGGTTAACTGTGTCACGCACACACATACATGGTCAGGGTAGATAGATGGCCACATCTGTCCTGATTATTACTAGTCTCCAGAATATCTAAAAAGATAAAAGAAAAGTAACTGCAGTCTCAACATGATGAGTCATTGCATGTTAGGGGTCAAGGAGAAAAAAATGGGGATGTGGGTGGTTGAGAAATGAGGACATGTGAATCTTACGGCAGAAGTACAATTTTGTAGGCTATTGATATAATATCCATATACTGAACACCTACTTTCCTATTTCTTCCCTATATTTTTACTTCTAAGCATAACGAAAGATTTACCTCAGTGTCTTTCTTTCAGAGCTCAAGCCTCCAGAGATTTTAAGGATATATATTCCTTTTTATTTTCTTATGGTTTTAAGTTTCTAGAATTTTTTCTTCAGAATTGAATGGAGAGAGCCACTTATCACTCCATGCTTTTAGCCTGTCCAAGTCCGTCTAAGCACTCTTTGTGAATGCCCCTTCAACACCCCAACTATCCCTATGTCAGCAGATTTTATCCTCTTAATGTAGATGCCCTCTTTTGGGTCATTGATGTATAAAGTGAACAAAAATCTGTCTTAATACTTATCCCTGTGGCAGCCCATTAGTTGGTCCTGACCAGTTACAATTCTCAATTCCCTTCGATCTTAGTTATTCGAACTACCTTCCCCCTCATTCAAATATCTTGTTCCTTCACACTTTAATTGCTGACCTTGTAAATCAGTTTTTTTTTGTATTCTATTATATTAAGAAATGTCTTAAATTCTGGGGAAATTTTATGTTCATTGCTTTTACTCCCTCTACAAAAATGCTTCACGACCCTTGTTCAAGAACATTTTATCAGTTTTATAATGCATACCTCTTTTATTGAATTAACATTATCTCTCTCTTTTAATACACTCATTTTTATATATACTCTTTCCTCTTTAGTTTTCCTTTTAGAAAAAATGATAATTTTTGTATATTTTACTTGCTATGTTTTAGTATACATAGCTCTATCATTTAAAAGATTTGTATATATTTTAAATATTTTCAATGTATATTGATTTCATATTTTAAAATGAAAATATATTTTATAGGTTAATGTTATTTACCTGAATTGGCTGATAACCCATAGAAGTTAAACTGCTTTCTGAGAATCAAAAGTCATGGACTATATGGATGTTTTTGTCAGTGTGAGCCACTTCTAAAGGTTTACCTATCATCTGTGTATTAGCCAGGGTTCTCCAGAGAAACACCAACCATAGGATATACATAGATACACAAGAGAGGATTTATTATGGGACTTGGCTCACGTGATTATGGAAGCTGAGAAGTCCCACAATATGCCACCTGCAAACTGGAGAACCAGGAAAGTTGGTGTTTTAATTCAGTTTGAGCCCAAAGACCTAAAACTCTGGATGGGATGGGTAGGGGTGAGGCTTCATGTAAGACCCGGAGTCCAGAGGCCCAACAACCTGGGGTTCTGCTGTCTGTGTGCATAAGAGAATGCATGTGCTCCAAAAAAGGAGGCAAACTCACTCTTCCTCAGCCATTTTGTTCCATTGGTACCTATGAGGAATTGAATTATGCCCACTCACATTTGTGAGAGCAGGTCTTTTTTACTCAGATTTAAATGCTAATCTCTTCCAGAAACACCCTCATACACACACCCAGCAATAACACTTTACCACCTCTCTGGGTATCCCTTAACCCAGTTAAGTTGACACATAAAATTAACCATCACAATCTAATAACTGTAAATTGCCTGACTAAGAAACATTGGCTAAATTTTATTATTGATGAGCTTGAAGCATTCACTTATCTTTAAGGGATCATACTCTTCTTGGTGACTAAACCAAGCTTAGAAGTCCCTAGTAAAAATTTTTGACTTGAAAACTCTTTTTAGGTCTGAATATAGTTGACTGCTACTTGTGGTGTTCCTGAATTACAGGGTCGACTGTTAAATGGTTTATTGATGTTCTGAGCATCAAGATAAAAAACTGATATCACAAAATTTATTTTTGACAATATTAATACAGAAACTCTGTACAGATTGTTCATGTGTATTATTTAATATATTACATAATCATCATCAACATGTAGATAACACAGATGACTTTAAGTTGGTTTAATAATGTACTGATTTTGATTGTAAGGACATAGAAATTTCAGTCAATTTTAGGTCACATATAGCTAATATCCGCCACAGGAAACATCATTAATGCTGAGAAAGTGGAAAGTTTCCTCATCCTGATTGAATTTTTAAAAAATAACTACAATAAGATGGCTGAATAGGAACAGCTTCGGTCTGCAGCTCCCAATGAGATTGATGCAGAAGGCAGTGATTTCTGCATTTCCACCTGAGGTACCTGGTTCATCTCATTGGGACTGGTTGGACACTGGGTGCAGCCCAAGGAGGGAGAGGTGAAGCAGGGTGGGGCGTTGCCTCACTGGAGATGTGCAAGGGGTCGTGGAACCCCCTCTCCTAGCCAAGGGAAGCCATTAGGGACTGTACCGTGCACTCTGGCCCAGATACTGCACTTTCCCCAAGGTCTTTGCAACCCACAGACCAGGAGATTCCTTCCGGTGCCTATACCACCAGGGCCCTGGGTTTCCATCACAAAACTGGGTGGCTCTTTGGGCAGACACTGAGATAGGTGCAGGAGTTTTTTTTCGTACCCCAGTGGTGCCTAGAATGCCAGCAAGACAGAACTGTTCACTCCCCTGCAAAGGGGGCTGAAGCCAGGGAGCCAAGTAGTCTGGCTAGGCTAATCCCATCCCCACGGAGCCCAGCAAGCTAAGATCTGCTGGCTTGAAATTCTCACTGCCAGCACAGCAGCAGTCTGAGCTCAACCTGGGACACTCGAGCTTGGTGAGGGGAGGGGCATCCGCCATTGCTGAGGCTTGAGTAGGTGGTTTCACCATCACAGTGTAAACAAAGCCACCAGGAAGTTCGAACTGGGTGGAGCCCACCCCAGCTAAGCAAGGCTGCTGCTGCCAGACTGTCTCCTCTCCGGGCAGGGCATCTCTGAATAAAAGGCAGCAGCCCCAGTCAGAGACTTATATACACAACCCCTACCTCCCTGGGACAGAGCACCTGGGGAAGGGCTGGTTGTGGGTTCAGCTTCAGCAGACTTAAAAGTCTCTACCTGGCAGTTCTGAAGAAAACAGCAGATCTACCAGCACAGCATTCGAGCTCTGATAAGGGACAGACTGCCTCCTCAAGTGGGTCCCTGATCCCCGTGTATCCTGACTAGGAGACACATCCCAGTAGGGGCCAACAGACACCTCATACAGGAGAGCTCTGGCTGGCATCTGGCAACTGCCCCTCTGGGATGAAGCTACCAGAGGAAGGAACAGGCAGCAATCTTTGCTGGTCTGCAGCCTCCACCAGTGACATGCAGGCAAACAGGGTCTGGCGTGGACCTCCAGCAAGCCTCAGCAGACCTGTAGCAGAGAGGCCTGAATGTTAGAAGGAAAACTAACAAACAGAAAGGAATAGTATCAACATCAACAAAAAGGACATCCACTCAGAGACCCTATCTGAAGGTCACTGACTTCAAAGAACAAAGGTAGATAAAGCCACAAAGATGGAGAGAAACTAGCACAAAAAGGCTGAAAATTCCAAAAACCAGAATGCCTCTTCTCCTCCAAAGGATCACAACTCCTCGCCAGCAAGGGAACAAAACTGGATGGAGAATGAGTTTAATGAACTGACAGAAGTAGGCTTCAGAAGGTGGGTAATAACGAACTCCTCCAAGCTAAAGGAGCATGTCCTAACCCAATGCAAGGTAGCTAAGAACCTTGAAAAAAGGTTAGACGAATTGCTAACTAAAATAACCAGTTTAGAGAAGAACATAAATGACCTGATGGAGCTGAAAAACACAGCATGACAACTTCGTGAAGCATACACAAGTACAAATAGCCGAATTGATCAAATGGAAGAAAGGATATCAGAGACTGAATATTAACTCAATGAAATAGAGTGAGAAAATAAGATTAGAGAAAAAAGAGTAAAAAGAAACAAGCAAAGCCTCCAAGAAGTATGGGACTAGGTGAAAAGACCAAACCGACATTTGATTGGTGTACCTGAAAGTGATGGGGAGAAAGGAACCAAGTTGGAAAACACTCTTCAGGATATTATCCAGGAGAACTTCCCCAACCTAGGAAGGCAGGCCAACATTAAAATTCAGGAAATACAGAGAACACCACAAAGATACTCCTCAAGAGGAGCAACCCCAAGACACATAATTGTCAGATTCGCCAAGGTTGAAATGCAGGAAAAAACATTAAGGGCAGCCAGAGAGAAAGGTCAGGTTACCCACAAAGGGAAGCCCATCAAACTAACAGCTGATGTCCCGCCAGAAACTCTATAAGCCAGAGGAGAGTGGGGGCCAATATTCAACATTCTTAAAGAAAAGAATTTTCAATCCAGAATTTCATATCCAGTCAAACTAAGCTTCATAAGTGAAGGAGAAATACAATCCTTTACAGACAAGCAAATGCTGAGAGATTTTGTCACTACTAGGTCTGCCCTACAAGAGCTCCTGAAGAAAGCACTAAACATGGAAAGGAACAACCAGTACCAACCACTGTAAAAATATACCAAATTGTAAAGACAATCGACGCTATGAAGAAACTGCATAAACTGATGGGTAAAATAACCAGCTAGCATCATAATGGCAGGATGAAATTCACACATAACAATATTAGCCTTAAATGTAAAGGGCTAAATGCCCCAATTAAAAGACACAGACTGGCAAATTGAATAAAGAGTCCAGACCCATTGGTGTGCTGTATTCAGGAGACCCATCTCATGTGCAAAGACACACATAGGCTCAAAAGAAAGGGATGGAGGAAGATCTACCAAGCAAATGAAAAGCAAAAAAAAAAAAAAAAAAGCAGTGGTTGCAATCCTGGTCTCTGATAAAACAGGCTTTAAACCAACAAAGATCAAAAGAGACAAAGAAGGGCATTACATAATGGTAAAGGGATCAATGCAACAAGAAGTGGTAACTCTCCAATATATATAGGCACCCAAAACAGGAGCCCCAGATTCATAAAGCAAGTTCTTAGAGACATACAAGAGACTTGGATTCCCACACAATCATAGTGGGAGACTTTAACACTGCACTGTCAATATTAGATCAATGAGACAGAAAATTAACAAGGATATCCAGGACTTGACCAAGCAGACCTTACAGACAACTACAGATCTCTCCACCCCAAATCAACAGAATATACATGCTTCTGAGCACAACATCACACTTATTCTGAATTCAACCACATAATTGGAAATAAAACACTCCTCAGCAAATGCAAAAGAACGGAAATCATAACAAACAGTCTCTTAGACCACAGTGCAATCAAATTAGAACTCAGGATTAAGAAACTCACTCAAAACCACACAACTACATGGAAACTGAACAACCTGCTCCTGAATGACTACTGGGTACATAACGAAATGAAGGCAGAAATAAAGATATTCTTTGAAACCAATGAGAACAAAGACACAACATACCAGAATCTCTGGAACTCATTTAAAGCAGTGTGTAGAGGGAAATTTATAGCACTAAATGCCCACAAAAGAAAGCAAGAAAGATCTAAAAGCAACACCCTAACATCAAAATTAAAAGAACTAATGAGGCAAGAGCAAACAAATTCAAAAGCTAGCAGAAGACAAGAAATAGCTATGATCAGAGCAGAACTGAAGGAGACAGAGACGTGAAAAACGCTTCAAAAAATCAATGAATCCAAGAGCGGGTTTTTTGAAAAGATCAGCAAAATAGATAGACCACTAGGCAGACTAATAAAGAAGAAAAGAAAGAAAAATCAAATAGATGCAATAAAAATGATAAAGGGGTTATCACCACTGATCCCACAAAAATACAAACTACCATCAGAGAAACTATAAACACTTCTACACAAATAAACTAAAAAATCTAAAAGCAATGGATAAATTCCTGGACACATATACCCTCCTGAGACTAAACCAGGAAGAAGTCGAATCCCTGAATAGACCAATAACAAGTTCTGAAATTGAGGCAGCAATTAATAGCCTACCAACCAAAAAAAGTCCAGGACCAGACGGATTCACAACCAAATTCTACTAGAGGTACAAAGAGGAGCTAGTACCATTCCTTCTGAAACTATTCCAAACAATAGAAAAAGAGGGAATCCTCCGTAACTCATTTTATGAGGCCAGCATCATCCTGATACCAAAACCTGACAGAGACACAACAAAAAATGAAAATTTCAAGCAAATATCCCTGAGGAACATTGATATGAAAATCCTCAATAAAATACTGGCAAACCGAATCCAGCAGCACATCAAAAACCTTATCCACCATGATCAAGTGAGCTTCATCCCTGGGATGCAAGGCTGGTTCAACATACACAAATCAATAAACATAATCCATCACGTAAACAGAACCAATGACAAAAACCACATGATTATCTCAATAGATGAAGAAAAGGCCTTTGACAAAATTCAACAGCCCTTCATGCTAAAAACTCTAAATGAACTAGGCATTGATGGAACGTATCTCAAAATAATAAGAGCTATTTATGACAAACCCGCAGCCAACATCATACTGGATGGGCAAAAACTGGAAGCATTCCCTTTGAAAACCGGCACAAGATAAGGATGTCCTCTCTCGCCACTACTATTCAACATAGTATTGGAAGTTCTGGCCAGGGCAATCAGGCAAGAGAAAGTAATAAAGGGTATTCAAACAGGAAAAGAGGAAGTCAAATTATCTCTGTTTGCAGATGATATGATTGTATATTTAGAAAACCACATCATCTCAGCCCCAAATCTCCTTAAGCTGATAAGCAATTTCAGCAGTCTCAGGATAGAAAATCAATGTGCAAAAATCACAAGCATTCCTATATACCAATAAAAGACAAACAGAGAGCCAAATCATGAGTGAACTCCAATTCACAATTGCTAAAAACAGAATGAAATACCTAGGAATCCAACTTAAAAGAGATGTGAAGGATCTCTTCAAGGACAGCTACAAACCACAGCTCAAGGAAATAAGAGAGGACACAAACAAATGGGAAAACATTCCATGCTTATGGATAGGAAGAACAAATATCATCAAAATGGCCATATTGCCCAGAGTAATTTAAAGATTTAATGATATCCCGATCAAGCTACCATTAATTTTCTTCACAGAATTGAAAAAACTACTTTAAATTTCATTTGGAACCAAAAAAGAGCCCACATAACCAAGACCATCCTAAGCAGAAGGAAGAAAGCTGGAGGCATTGTGCTACCTGACTTCGAACTATACTACAAGGCTACAGTAACAAAAACAGCTTGGTACTGGTACCAAAACAGATACATAGACCAATGGAACAGAAAAGAAGCCTCAGAAATAATGCCACACATCTACAACCATCTGATCTTTGACCAACCTGACAAAAACAAGCAAGGGGGAAAGGATTCCCTATTTAATAAATGATGTTAGGAAAACTGGCTAGCCATATGCAGAAAGTTGAAACTGGATCCCTTCCTTACACCTTACACAAAATTAACTTCAGATGGATTAAAGACTTAAATGTAAGACCAAAACCCATAAAAACCCTAGAAGAAAACCTAGGCAATACCATTCAGGACATTGGCATGGGCAAAGACTTCATGACTAAAACACCAAAAGCAATGGCAACAAATGCCAAAATAGACAAATGGGATCTGATTAAACTAAAAAGCTTCTGCACAGCAAAAGAAACTATCATCAGAGTGAACAGGCAACCTACAGAATGGGAGAAAATTTTTGCAATTTATCCATCTGACAAAGGGGTAATATACAGAATCTACTAAGAACTTGAACAGATTTACAAGAAAAAAACAAACAACCCCATCAAAAAGTGGGCAAAGGATATGAATAGACACTTCTCAAAAGAAGACGATTATGGCATCCAACAAACATATGTAAAAAAGCTCATCATCACTGGTCATTAGAGAAATGTAAATCAAAACCACAATGAGATACCATCTCACGACAGTTGGAATGGCAATAATTAAAAAGCTAGGGAACAACAGATGCTGGAGAGGATGTGGAGAAATAGGAACGCTTTTACAGTGTTGGGAGTGTAAATTAGTTCAACCATTGTGGAAGTCAGTGTGACAATTCCTCAGGGATCTAGAACTAGAAATACCATGTGACCCAGCCATCCCATTACTGGGTATATACCCAAAGGACTATAAATCATTCTACTCTAAAGACATGAACACGTATGTTTATTGTGGCACTATTCACAATAGCAAAGACTTGGAACCAACCCAAATGCACATCAATGATAGACTGGATAAAGAAAATGTGGCACATATACACCATGGAATACTATGCAGCCATGAAAAAGGATGAGTTCATGTCCTTTGCAGGGACGTGGATGAAGCTGGAAACCATCATTCTCAGCAGACTAACACAGGAACAGAAAACCAAACACTGCATGTTCTCACTCATAAGTGGGAGATGAACAATGAGAACACATGGACAGAGGGAGGGGAACATCACACACCAGGGCCTTCAGGGTGTGGGGGGCTGGGGGAGGGATAGCATTAGGAGAAATAACTAATGTAGATGACGGGTTGATGGGTGCAGCAAACCACCATGGCACGTATATACCTATGTAACAAACCTGCACATTCTGCACATGTACCCTAGAACTTAAAGTATAATAAAAAATAAATAAATAAAAAAACTACAGTAAGTTAATACATTTTCAGTGTGTACCTGTCATTTTATAACTTTAGAATTAGGCCTGCAGAAAGCATAAAACCTAGAGCTGCTGGGGATCATGTGCTTGGGAAATGGTCTTGAAGTCACTCACCTCACAGTAAATATTCAGCAGCATGCCTACATCACTACCAGTTACTTATACCTCACAGAAGGATAGAGAGGCTCACAGCCAGGTTTTCCAGCATGGGTGGAAGGGTGTAGGTATTTCAAAAAAGAAAAAAAAGACAGAACCGGGACGCACCTTGAATGACTTGGTGGTGTCCCCACCGTGATAAGGAAGTGTTATTAGCATGAAGACATATGCCTGGAAATTGGGGACTTTGATCAGGAGTGCTGCTGTGGTCCATGCACTGTAGGGGCAACTTCAGCTTTAATGCAGTTATGTTTCCATATCTTTATCGACGGTAAAGTAAATTGTATTATGTTATCTATTTCCATTGGCTTCTGTCAATCACGTTGCCATCTATCTTGTGATGAAGCTACAGTTTTCTTCCTTTTAGGCAAACAAAGATAGGGCAGCATGGATGTTTTTGGCATCTTTACAAAACCAAAATCAGCTGCAGCCAGTGATAATGGTTAGCCATTCTCCCTGCCATGTCTAGGAAGATATCCTAACCTAAAGCCTTCTACATGGTACACTTGTTCTTAAACTCTATCCCTGGTAAATCCTGGACATAAGTACATGTAATGCATGGCAGAAAAGATTCTATTTTAACTTGACATTGTGTAATCTTTTCCCCTTCAATGGTTACAAAAGTCTGTAACTGCTATCTAGAACAGCAGATAATTCACTTTTACTCAGAATTAGCCATTCTTCCCCAGCCACATCTTATTATCACCCAGATCCTTCCCTCCCTTATTAGACATCATCCCTAGCATAGCAACTCTAGAATGACACAACAGTGGGTCCTTAACAGGGGCTGATTCACCTTTTGTTATAAATTGTAACTTATTATATATATTAGTATGTCTTTGATGCTAGAGAGTTCAATTTTTTATGTGTAATTTTTATGCTTTTATGTGCAAAAAGGTCCAGATTATAGTTCTTCCAAGTTTCCCATTTTGTTTGTATGTGGAACACTTGGGAATATCTATTAACTCCAATTTAATAGCTTCCTTTATTTTTTTCCTAATGTACTATAATCATACAATTTCTCCTGTTACTGATTTACAATCAGAATTTGAATAGCAGAAAAAAAGAATCCAATGTGTTCTACCTCACTAATAATAAAGAAATAAAAATTAAAACATATTTTTAAACTATCAAGTTAACAAAAATTGAAAGCAAAATGTTAATATCTGGTATTGGAAAGTGCATAGTAAAAGATATTCTCATTTGCTGAAGGTAGTAATTTAAGTTGGTGCAATTTTGTGGAGTGAATTCTAATGATGTTTATTAAGACTTTTCAAAATATTCATGCCATTAACTTTAGCATAAATGCTTTAGGAATGCATTTTTTAAAATTATGAGAGGGCTGTATAGAGACTTACATATAATTTCATTATAATGAAATTTTGCATTATTTTATATATTATATACATATATCATACAAGTATAATAGTAACCCTTGCAGACAATCAAAATTTCTAAAGAATAGGGGGATGATTCTCTAAATTAAGATATATCCTTATGATGGAATATTATACACATACATCATTCAGATATATGCTGTGGCATAATGAGAAATATATATTTGGTCTCTTCCCCTGTTCTGTGGCACCAGTTCCTAAAACCCTCAGAATCTCTGGAATGAAGAGTATCCTTTTGAATGCTAATAAGATGACTGGTGGCTAGGGACTCCTGAACAGCCTCAGGATGTGATTAGAGAGCTGGAAGTTTCAGCCCCACCTCTTAACCTTAGGAGAGAGGAGATGAGCTAGAGAATGATCAACAAGGCATGATTTGATTAACCATGCCTATGTAATGAAGCTCCCATAAAAAGAGGCAAACCCTAAAGGACAGATTCAGGGAGATTCCAGGTTAGAGAAGACGTAGAGGTGCGGGGAGGATGGCATATTCAGAGAGGCCAGGGAAGCTCCTCATCTCTTCTCTCATTGCTTTTTATAATAAGCCAGTAATCTAATAAGTGAATTGTTTTCCTGAGTTCTGGGGGGACATTCTGCTAAATGATCAACCCCAACGAGAAGGTGTGGAAACTTCTGATTTTATAGCTGCTTGCTCAGAAGCACTGGTGACGACTAAGACTTGCAAGTGGCATCTGAAGTGGGGGGCAGTATTGTGGAGCCTGAGTCCTTAACTCAGGATTTGATGCTATCTCCAGGTAGATAGTGTTAGAAGTGAGTTAAATTATAGGACACCGGCCGGGCGTGGTGGCTCATGCCTGTAATCCCAGCACTTTGGGAGGCTGAAGCAAGTGGATTACCTGAGGTCAGGAGTTGGAGACCAGCTTGGCCAACATGGTGAAACCCCATCTCCACTAAAAATACAAAAAATTAGCTGGGCGTGGCAGTGGGTGTCTGTAATCCCAGCTACTCAGGAGGCTGAGACAGGAGAATTGCTTGAACTGGGAAGGCAGAGCTTGCAGTGACCGGAGATTGTGCCATTGCACTCCAGCCTGGGTGATAAGAGCGAGACTCTGTCTCAAAAAAAAAAAAAAAAAAAAAAAAAAAAAAATTGTAGGACACCTAATTGGTGTCTGCAGAGAATTGGAGCATTGATCAGCATGAAAAAAATCCTCATACATTTTGGTGAGCAAAAGTGAAGGGTTAAGAGTTGTCTTCATCTGTTTTTTTGTTGCATATGAAATAATACTTGAAATTGGATAATTTATTTAAAAAAAGAAATTTATTTCTTCAGTTATAGAGGTTGCAAAGTCCAAGGTCAAGGGGGCACATTTAGTGAGAGGCTTCTTGTTGGTAGGGACTCTCTGCAGAGTTCCAAGGCAGCGCAGGTCATCATATGGCCAGGGGGCTGAGTGTGCTAGGTCAGGTCTCCCTTCCTCTTCTTATAAAGTCAGAAGTCCCACTCCCATGAGAACCCATTAATCCACCAACCCATTATTAACCCATTCATGAAGGCAGAGCCTTCATGACTCAATCACCTTTTAAAGGCCCCACCTCTCAAAACTGCCACATTGGGGATTAAATTTCATGAGTTTTGGAAGGAACACATATTCAAACCATAGCACAAGTAGAGAGGGGGAAAGGTTGTTTTTCCTATACATATCCCTATAGCTATTGGTAGAGATGTATAAATAGAAATGATTAGATAGAAATATAAAACGCAAAAAAGTTATCAGTTAAAAAGTAATGGGATTATTAGTCATATTTATTTTTTATTTACACGTTCCTATATTTTCTTTGAAGCTTTTACAAGGACTATCAATCATTTTATAACTCAGAAAAATGTCACAACAACCTAAAAAAAAGACCATGTAAAATGATGAGGAAAAACCAAATACTAAGCAAAATGCTTTCCTTTTCCTTGTAATGTCAATTTGCAATGTTCCTTCATCTTCCTATTTACTTGGTGTGGCTGAAAAGATGGAGAGTTTTTCTGCTCAGATTTCTTGGCCTCAGTAGTGAGTCCTGGACAGTTTTAGGGTTGTTCCCACCCTTAAAGCATTATTTGGGGAGCCCCACTGGAGTTCAGTAGCCTAACCTTAGCCATGTGCTGGACTCTCCCATTTACTGTGAGACAAAAAGGTACTGTGCCAATTATCTATGGCCTCATGAAGCAAATCCTGTTGCCATCTTCTCCTCTCCCTCAAGACTACTGATTTTGTGCAGAGAAAACAGTTACTCTGTGTCTTACCTGGGAAATCGCTTGTTTGAAAATCCCCATTCGTCCTCTCTATACTTTATGTGTTGTACCTGAGTCTCCATCCTTATGAATAAACTCCCGGATATCTGTGTCATGCCTATTCAGCAGACCATTACACAAATTTGCACAAAATATATGCTCTTGATATTTTGCTATTGTTCTAGTAAATGTTAAAGTTCTTTTGATATGACAGATAGCAACCCCTTATCAATCTTATTCCAAAGATTTCCAACACCCTTTTTCTTTTTATGTTAATTTTATTTTTATTACATAGGCATTTTAAGCATATATTAATTTTTCAGTGTCCTGTAATTTACTTTGTTGTGTCAAATACAACAAATAGACTTTCATCTATAGATTTTTAAAAATTCTGTATTATTTTCAGTTAGAAGTCGTTACATTTTACATCCTGTAAGAGGGAAAGCCATGATCTCTGGGATTTACTCTAGAAGGGGGAGATGTATATTTCTGGTGCTGAGATTTTTTCATGACACTAATTTGTAGCTTTCACTGGCAAGGCCTCTACAACTGGTGCTAGTGTTGGAATTGACTGGGAGGATGTGAACTTGAAAACAAGACGACTTGGAATAGAATACTCTCCTGAGGGGTGGATGGTTTGCCTCAGAAATATGGTGGCTGACTGCAACCGATGAAGGACAGCCTATAAACAAAATCCTTCTAGGATTATCTTGGGACGAACCATGGATGCTGGGAACTAGAATATTTTATTTTTAGTTTTAATTTATTTTCCACAATGTCACTTCATTATTTTAGCTTCCAGCCTCAGTCTTATGAAGGCAACTACAATCTGAGTAATAATAAAATGTCCAAATTCATGTTTTGGAGGTGAAGTTTGTGAAAGAATGCTACACTGCTAGAATACTCTACCCTTAGAACACATGGAAAGAGTCTCATACTCAGAAATACTTGGACGAGAGATTAGTTTTCCTGGAGTCCAATAGGATAAGGCTTTGTTTATTGTTACTTAAATTAAAGGGGAAGGTAATTCTAGAAGGAAAAGTATAATTTAGTATAACCCCACTTGAGTTTTATTTATTTATTTTTTTTTTGGTCAATTGCTATGCAGTTCTAGCCATACAGTTTTTAAAATGGACATTGCTTCTGCTTTGTTTTCATATTTTACTTTTTCTTATAAAAATGTTATGCAGCTGAATTGATTTCAGCGTCTTCCTTTTTCCTCTAAGACCCTGATTTCTTTACGTCAATACCACCCTGCTTTAAATTAGACTTTTTGAGGTTTGTTTTGTTGCTTAGCTTACTGGGGCTGCTGCGATAAAGCCCCACAAACTTGGTGGCTTAAGGTGACAGAAATGTATTCTCTCACTGGAGGCTGGACATCTGGAATCAACACACAAACAATGCCATGTTTTCTCTGAAGGCTCTGAAGGCTGATCCTTTCCTGCCTCTTCCTAGCTGCTGGTGGCTGCCAGCAAGCTTTGGTGGTCTTTGGCTTGGGATGCCCTAACTCCAAGGTCTGCCTTCATCTTAGCATGGTGTTCTCCCTGTGTGTCTGTGTCTCTGTGCCCAAATTTCCCTGTTTCTAAAAGGATGTCAATCACATTGGATTAAGAGCCCACTCTAATCCAGCATGACCTCATCTTTACTTGATTATATCTGCAATGGCCTTATTTGCAAAAGGGGTTGTATCATCTGTATCACTGATTCCAGATGAACATGAAATTTTCTGGGACAGTATTCAACCTAGTACAAGTATATTCTAATATATCTCCTTGTAATGTTGCCTTTAGTTTGTTTGTTTGTTACACAGACCTATGGAATCATAGCGCTTATGTGATATTGCCACTTGGATTTAAGAGTGAAAAAAAAAACCAACAACCTTGTTTCTTTCACTAAGTAAGCAACCATTTACCCATGAATATATGCTATGTGTCAGACACTGTTTTAGACACAGGGTGTGTCTGACTTCATCCAAATGGGGTGGCTGACCTCACAGGACTTATATTCTAGTGAGAAAGGTGAGAGATACAGACAATTAACTAGTAAATAATTAGATAACAACATTTCAAATATTCAGAAAAAAAACAATACAGGATAAAGGGAGAGAAATTCTCCATGAGTGAATTCACCAGGAGTGAGTAACAGTGGGGAAGTGACAGAGACCTGAAGGATGAGAAACAGCCCACCTTGTGGATTCTCAAGCAAAGACATTTGAGGGAGAAGTCATAGTCAGTGCTCAGACCTTTGGTTCTGACACATCCATGGCCTATTCAAAGGATTTCAAAAAGTTGAATTCAAAGGGGAAATGTAGGCCAGGAAGCCAGAGAGGGAGACAGGGATCAGGTTATGCAGGGTCTTACCATGCCAGGAATTCAGATTTTATTCTAATTATAAGAGGAAGTCACTGGAAGGTTATAAAAAAAGTATGATCTGACTTAAGCTTTCAAAAATATGATTCTGCGAGTAGTTCTCGCAACCGTTCTCCTTGACACTTGGAGAGTTACAGTCTCTACATGTGCCAGGATAGTCTGAGCTATGTTGAAATAGCAAATATAAACTCAAAAATTTCAGTGGTGTAGCACAGTATAGAAATTTTTCTTCTTCATGTAAAGTCTGGTATAGGTCAGGAGTCTCTTCCATTCCATAGCTGTGTGATTTAGAATGTGTAGTCCCCAAGGATACTTAGACTGGGAAAGAAAGACGATGGGGGATTGTGTAAGATATTTTTAAAGGCCAGACTTGGAAATGGCTTTCATGGCATTCACCCACATGTTGTGGACCTGAATTCAGTCACAGGGTACCAAAGGCCCAACAAAGGAGGCTAGGAAATTGTATCTTCTTGTCTAAGAAGAGGAAGAAGATGTTTCTACCAAACTGCTTGAAGAGGAAGTAGATGTTTCTACCAAACTGCTTGAGGCAAGATAATTCTGACTTGTTGCTTTTTGGAAGCATAAGAAGCTGGTGGATGTTCCATTCTTTCCATTGCATTCTTTAGGAATGCTTAAGTGAGATCTTCAGGTCTTTCCAGGGTCTTGGCATCAACTAGCAACCAGGAGCCTCATTAATCTGCTACAGTTCCACCCCCGCCGCCGACCTCCTAATTTACCTAGACTCTTGCTACAATGATGATGTGTTCCTTGGCCTTTCTGAATTAGAGTTGCCTTACTACAACAAATTGAAATAGCCTATATCAAAGAAATTTCTCCAGAACTAGACTCTAGAATGATATACAACTCACACAACTCAGAACCCAAAAGACAGGCACTTGGCATGGTTAGAATGAACTATAGGCAGCTGAATCTTTTCCTGAATTAAGAGAGAGGACTGTTGTAATGCATATCACTGACAAGGGCCATTTCTCTGGCCCTTGTTTACAGTCAGCAAAATGGCACGTCTCTCCAGATTTTTCTTTACACAGCTCCTTTTCCCTGTGAGAATGGGAAACTTCCTATTTCAGGTTCACAAAGGGAAAGTTACAATTATTTTGACGTATGAGGAACTTGCCTCCAAGCCAGTAAAAATACAAATACTGGTGATGCTGAAACTATTGACTGATTATTATGATTTTTTTGGCTGGGCATTGTCATAAATTATTTAGGATATTTTTTCTTTTAATGCTTACCACAAACTTATGCAGTAAAAACCATTCAAAACTTGTTAAAAATGAGGAGTAGAAAGGCTAAGTCCTCTTCCTAGTCACATGGTGGCAAACAGTGACCCAGCATTTAAACCCATGGGTTTCTGACTCCTAGTCTCATGTTGTTAATCACAAGAAAAGGATAAAACAGGTCGGGCATGGTAGCTCACGCCTGTAATCCCAGAACTTTGGGAGGCCAAGGCGGGCAGATCATGAGGTCAGGAGATCGAGAGCATCCTGGCTAACACAGTGAAACCCTGTCTCTACTAAAAATACAAAAAATTAGCTGGGTGTGGTGGCAGGCACCTGTAGTCCCAGCTACTCGGGAGGCTGAGGCAGGAGAATCGCTTGAACCTGGGAGGAGGAGCTTTCAGTGAGCCGAGATTGCGCCAGTGCACTCCAGCCTGGGCGAAAGTGTGAGACTGTCTCAAAAAAAACAACAACAACAACAAAAAAAAGGGGGTAAAACAGATCCTCTGCCTATTTTGATTCCTCAATATTCAAATATTTAGGTTAAAAATTTCATAGTTCTTTGCTATTTTCCCTAATAGCTGGAGTTTCTAGAATCTGTAGTGTAAGTCTTTTTATGACAAGAAAGTTTAACACGTGTTAGTTTCTTTCTCACCTTAGAGCTATTATATAGAAATGTCCTGAAAAATTCTATGTGTGATAGAAATTTGAGCATGTGCTTCTTTAGGTCCAGCACACCTTCTCCGATATTAACTCCCCCGACTGCAACTGCCCATTCATCAGCCCTCCCAGGCCATGTTTGTCTTTGAATCTCTCATATTTCTTTGTAAAAAGTATACTTTCAATAAATATTTGTTAAATTAGTAAATTCCTATTTCTTTAAGTGCTGGTATGGTTGAAAATATATAGGAAGAACATCAAGTATTAATGTCTTTTGAAAAGTCAACACGATGTATGCTTTTGTTTACATTCAGAGTATTTTTTGTTTTTATTTCCTATTACATATATAATACATGATCATTGTAGAAAACTATAGAAAGCATTGTAGAAAGTATTGTTTTGTGTGTGTATATATATATATATATATATGTGCACATATAAAATGGGATTATGCTGGCACTGTTTTTAATTTTTAAATCTATCATTTGTTTTTTATCAGCTATCAATCAACTAAAAAAGTTAAGAAAAGCCTGCCTAAACAATATCTAATATTACATGACTAGTCTGTATGCTTTTCATAGTCTATTTTTACTGTGGTTTTCTAGAAATATGTGAAAACGTGTATCAGTCTCCCTATGAAATAGTTTAATGGGTTTTACTAATGTGCCAGTAAAATATTTTTGCCCCCAAAATCAACAAGGTAGCTCAAAAGTAAAACTCTTCCTTTCATGTGATGTGATCTACACTGTAGATTTATGCAACACAAAAAATCTACTGGTAAACAGCCAAACAAAACAAGGTCCCTTTATTATGAATGTAGGCAACACTAAGAAAAATAATTAAGCAGTCATTTAAAAACCCATAAACACAGCACACACACACACACACACACACACACAGAGTTTCATTAACTTTAAACCACAAGAAATTAATTACAGATTCACTGCTAATGAACATATGGGATAAGTGCTGACACTCAACTGGTTTCAGTTCAGTGATCGCAGAAACAAAGCAATGCTCACAGACGGATGGTGGGGGGAAACGTTAGTGAGTGGGGGCCAGGAAGCAAGATTCCTTCATAACTATGGAAAACAGTTCCAAAATATTCAGACAGAGAGAAAAGGGCTCCAAAATCCATCCCATTCTGAGTATGAACAGACCTTCTCCATCACCGCCACCTGCTGTCTCTACCTCTAGAAGAAGCTGTAATGTCTGAGGAAGGAGGAGGTTGAGCAGAGGGGAGAGAGTAGGCAGAGAGGCACTGGCAAAGAACCATTGCTCCAGAGCAAAGACAACCCCCCCCACCACCCCCACCCCAAAAATAAAAAGGAAATAGAAAAAGAAAAGAAGAAACATCATGTCTAAAGAAAAGTGTCATAGACCTGAAACAGATAGCTATCTGTACAAAGGGTACATGTGTTAAATCAGAGGGTAAGTCACTGAGCAATTGCAGAGAAATTAAGATGTTGATCCTGTATGTCCTTTCCTATTTAAATATGCTGATGATTTAAAACACCCTCATTGAAGATGCAGATCATGAAGACACTCACCTTTTCATACGCTGAGCTACAATGTCAAACTCTAAAGAAATCATTGCAGCAGGATCAACGTCACTTTCTCTTCAAAATTCTTACCTCACTGCAAACTGAAGACAGCTATGTTGGGCTTCATATTTATTAACAGGATGTAAAAGCAAGTAATACTACCTGGTGTCATAAAATAGTGAATGCTGCCTCCCATATTACTTAGGATAAACAAATTCCTCTCCTGTTTCTATTCATGTCCAGAATAATCAGTTCATTATTCATCATCTGAGATGTATGCGTTATTCATGATTAAATATTTATCAATTCATATTGATGGTTCTTCCTATTGAATCACTCTCCTATTCTTACTCATCTGTGTTTACATCCAGTGAAAATATGTCTTCATTTGTCTATGAACTGGAACAATTCTAAACACTTTGTGTCTACATATAGTATCTACCTTCTTAGTTGAAGCAACTTAAAAATAAATATTCTCTAGGCCACGCACGGTGGCTCATGCCTGTAATCCCAGCACTTTGGGAGGCTGAGGCAGGTGGATCACTTGAGGTCAGGAGTTCAAGACCAGCCTGGCCAACATGGTGAAACTGCATCTCAACCAAAAAGATTAAAAAATTAGTCAGGCATGGTGGTGGGCCCCTGTAATCCCAGGTATTTGCAAGGCTGAGACAGGAGAATCGCTTGCACGCTGGAGGAGGAGATTGCAGTGAGCCAGGATTGTGACACTGTACTCCATCCTGGGTGACAGAGAGAGACTCCGCTTCAAAATAAATAAAATAAATAATAATAAAATAAAAATTTTAAAAATTCTCTAGATTTTTATTTTCTTTTGGAATTATGTCTTTTTTATATTCTTCTCCTTAGTCCTAAAATCATTTTCCATCAAGATTACATGATTTCTATGCTGACAGAGATTTTTCAGTTTAACATAGATGGTAATAAATTAATTTAGCTTCTGGTATTATTTTCATTTTCTTGTCTGTCAGAAATTTACCATCTTGAAAAACAAATCACTAGCTTTCAATTATAAGCAAAGTTATGTAATAATACTAATTAGAGAGTGTAAATGATCAGTTCATCATTTTATCAGATTTTACATAAAAGCATGCCTAGAAAACCATAATTTAAATAATGTAAATGGACTTGAGAAAGCATGATGAATTATAGACTGTAATTTAATTGCATTAGCAAACTTAAAAAAATGTTTTAACATATCAATAACTTTAAATCTTTTTTTAAAAAATTACATTTTAATTGACAAATAATAATTATATATTTTTATGTGTTACGATGTAATATTTTGATACAGGTATACATTGTGGAATGATTAAATCAGGGTCATTAATATGACCCTCACCTCTCATACTTAGTTCTTTGTGATGAGAACATTTAAAATCTACCATTCCAACAATTTTGAAATATACAACACATTATTATTAACTATAGTCACCCATGCTGTGCAATAGATCACTAGAAATATTCCTCCTAACTGAAACGTGAAACTTTTCTTTATTCTTGGTGTATAAAAGAAAGAGAGCTCAAGCTAAGGCATTTCCCAAGGATATTTTCCAGTGTCTCAAAGAGTATATAATTATACAGTTCACTATTGTGCTAAATAGGTACACTTTTTAAAAACTGCAATTACTATTCTGATTGAAGGGGTGTTTGATCATTACTCTGCTGATGCTGAAAAAGTATAGTATGATGCTGAAAAAGTACAGCCTTTAAAGTTTAACTGCTTATATTCAATTTCCAACTTTTTCATTTGCCAGCTAAGTAACTGTGCCTGTTTTCTTTTATGTAAAATGGGGCAAAACTGGTTATTTGGAGAAAATATTATTTTCAAGATTAAAAGATATGGCATGATTTGCATAAAGTTTTCAGAGCCTGTAACGTGATAAGTACTCAATAAATGCTGGTTTCACTGCATTGATAAATGATGGTGGAGATGGGGGAGTGTCCAGGGAGGAAAATTGAATCTTATAGCCCTTATAATAAGAATGCTGTGGTCTCCCTATTATATCCATAGTTTGTGAATATTTTGTCACCAGGTTCTTCGTGTATATTAGAGGGACACAGGGTTAAAGAGAACTCCTGTTCTTTTGTGTGAATTAAACAGAAGGGAATATCAAAGTTGGGTTACTTTTCTATGTAAAGATCTGTTTAGACAAGTTATCTAATCTAGGGCCCTTGTAATCATTAAAGAAAGAAAAGTCCAATTATTTGATTATTTGCTTTATTCTTATTTATGTCTCTACGTTGTATTTAACAGTTTTCTTTAAAATTCATCATGCACAATAAAAATGTATCTACTTTCTCCTTTAGCTTCAGAGGCCCCACACTTTCCTGGTTTCTTCTTCCACCTCTCTGAATGTTTCTTCTACCTCCTATATGACGTCTTGAAGTGAATTCTTGTAATTTCATATTGCTTCATCATCCATTTCAATATAAGCTTAACTTTCTCTTAACAGAAGCAGGGCTTAGCCACCATTGACACAATTTCCAGTTCTCTGCTTCCTTCCAGTTCCTCAAAGTGGTAGACCTAGATATCTGCCTTAAAACAACCATCTTCTGGTGACCACCTTCCTATAGGACAGCTAGATACAACCTACTTGACTCACCCCATGGGGCCCTGCATCCTGCATGGACTGTGCAGATATGCCACAGTGACCATCTCTCAGTCACAGTGTGACTCCACAGAACTCACTTCTATTTGCTCTAAACCCACCAAGCAGAACTCCCTGAGAGATAACTGCTTGGATAATGCCTTGGACCTCAGTGAATGCCGTGGTCCCTAGGTCTTCTTATCTCTCTTGCTCCTTACCTGCTGGTTGACTCTCCATGCCCCTTCCAATTGGCTTTGTAAAGGGTGCTGTCCTTGTCTCTCTGGGATCTGTGCGTAAGAAAATGGTTCTGTTATTTCATGTGTTTTGTTGAGTTGCCTCCTCTGGGTCTCATGTGACCAACACACCCAAACCTAACTTCTTTCCCAGTTAGGGCTCTCATTGAGAGTGGCTACATTACTAGAAATAAGACAGAGATCAGACAAGAGCAGCAACGGCATTTGCCAGCATAAAGAATTTTCTGTGAGAGGGCCACCTGGTCACGGGTTGGACACTTAGGCAGTAGAGTGTCTACCAGGATAAAAAAAGGATCCCATGAGAAGCACATTGTAAACATCCATGATTGAATCTTTTGATTACTAGTCAGGGCAGAGCTAGAGCTTATGGCCACTCTCATGAGAAAGACCTCAGGACTAACTTACAGAAAATAGAGCAAGTCCTCTTCCTATCACCTCACTCAATCTTTTTTCTTCTTTAAATATTCTTTTGGAAAAATATGTATCCCCTTAGCTTCATCTACCATTTAAAATTCAGATTTCCTAATGTTACAGATCAAGCCACCTTCTTGAAATCCCCGGCTGTCTCACGGAGAGTTTAAAATCAACACATCTAAAATAAAATTTTACTTTCACATCCCAAATATTTTTATTCTCTTAAATTCCCTCTCTGAGGGAGAGCCTGAAATCCACTCATTAGTCCAAACAAGAAACCTAGAAGTTATCCTGCTTTTCTATCACTCCCTGATTTCCATCATCTCATTTTCAATTAAGTTCTGCAAGTGTCTTTATAGTCTCTCTCAGCCTTTCAGTCTTCAGGCTCCTAATCCAACATTTCATCATTTCTTCTTCAAATCACCACACTAACATGCCGATCCTCCCTAGGTGCTCCTCTTTCCATAGTGTTTTCCATTCCATATTCTGAGATATGGCTTCCTTTCCTGCTTAAAATATGTTTATTCATACATTTCATCAGCAACTATATATTGAGCATCTACTATGTGCCAGGCCCCCCCATTCTAGGGCCCAGGACACTATGGTGAACACGTTCTTTGCTTGATGCTGTTTACAGATCATTTTAAATATATATATATATATATATATATATATATGTATGTATATGCACACATATATATACACATAGATATATAAACATACACACTTATATGTGTGTTTGTTTGTGTGTATATGTGTGTTAGACCTATAAGAGCATCAAAGCTACCAAAGATTTCCATTCCACTTTGGAAATGTATTAAAAGTATTCTTGTCTCGCTTGTATATTCATTTATTCATCCATCCGTCCAATAACTATTCTTTAGTGCCTCTTTAGTGTCTTCATGATAAAGTTCAAACTCAGTATTACATACAAGTGCCTTTGTGATCTTATCTCTGCCTCTCTCACTAGCTATATTTTCTGCTACTCTTTCATATATCTTCTACATTCCAAGAACAAGTTTTGTGTGCACTTATAATCTTATCTCCTGCCTGAAAGTTGATATTTCTATCTCTTCTAAGAAGAATATCTTTTCTGCCTCATTCTTGGAAACTGAAAGTCACATATTCAGAATAACTTGTCTTCACCCACCTACCTTTCAGGTTGTTAGAGACCCCTAGTCATACATAAATCTATCTCTCCAGCTGTCCTATTGTATGATAGTTGTTTATTTTTAAATCTCCACTGTGAACTTTCTAATGCATCCCCATCATGTTTACTTTCTTACACAATGGCTGGCACATAGTAGCAATTTATAAATGTCTTTTGAATGAATAAATGACAGAATGAATGAATAAATTATTCCACTTGGGTCAGATGCTGCAGAAATATTCTGGGCTTTGTTGAACAGAATGTTTTCATTTCTTCTTTTCTTCTGAAGAGTCCTGGAATGGTGGCCTAAAACTACTATGAAAGAGTTCCTAAATTAGGTTTAATTTAGTAGTGAAGTCAACTAAATTCCAACAAAATTACCACCTTTAGAGGTACCTAAAAATCTATTTAGCAACAAAAATACCAAAAGCAGTAGGAGATGGTTGATCAAACTTTTCTTCTTAAACCTGATGAGCACAGCTTTTTGTTGAAAATGATGAGGCCCACACATTTTCAAATCTGTTCAGTTCACTGAAAGGGTACTGTGCCTCAAGATCTTCATTCTTGAAATTCACCTTCACCTCATCTGCCTGCACAACACTTAGGAGTTCTGAGAACTGACAAAGTTTCTGAAGTTCTTTGTGTCCATTGTCTCCCACTTTTTTCTTAAAGACAGGAGTATACTGAAAGTGCCAAACATTGAAAACTGGTATAGCTGTTGAGGCTAATCTCATCTATTCAAACAACGTGAAAACAGTGAGTGGATTTGCAAGTGATACAACAGTAGCCCCTGCCTGTATTAGAGTCTTGGGTCACAGTATAGCAATCTTCAGCTTTGCCAATTTCCCAGGGCTCTTTTTACAAATAAAATTCTCCTCAAAATCTGACTAAAAAATTATATTTTTTCATTGAATTATTCATAGAAGGATCATTTAGTGATACTGGCTTCGAGAAGCCTGAGTCTCTTGCAAATTACAGATAATGCTCAGCACAGGGCGTATACGAGTTAAATGTTTAGTAGTAAGGCCATAAATATATAAATTCTAGAATGAAAATTATTACCCCATGCAGGAAATGGGAGATTTTACATATGCATACGTATATAATACTATGTATGAAATATTATATATGTGTCTCTACTTAAAGCCAGACAACCAAATAGCATAAATAATGTATGGATTAAAATTCAGTTTGACTTTACACAATTATGTAATGTTCTGAAATCTTCCAAAGCTAAAGGGAAGTTAAATTTCCATTAGTAAGACTATTCTATAATACTGCATTGTTCATTAATTGTTGCTTGAAGATTGAGTATTAAGTAATGGATTCTATGGCACTTACATAATATTTTATATTTGCAAAGTGCTTTGCAATTGTGTGCCAGTTAAATGTTAACCGGCCTTATATCCATTATGGATGAGAATAAGAAATGCCTATATGCAGAAGGACAGATTATTGGAACTTCTTTAAATGAGACAAGAAACATTTTCATTAACTACATATGTCCTGTAAATTACGGACCTGTCTACATCTTCCATTTTATGAACAGTCTTTGAAGTTGAAAGTTTAAAACACTAGCCATTCCTCAATTTTCATTCAGATCTTGGCATAAAACTGCACTGATTCCAACAATCACATATTTTTTTCTAATCAGTATTCATCCCAAGTTGTCAATTTACCCTCTATTATCATGCATGTTAGCACTAGTATCCTGTTCTTCAACTCTATACTATAGAAAATCTTTTTCAGTTGGAATTTTAAAATTTAACAATTTTTTACTGATCTTCATATTTTTTGCAAAAGACTTTAAAAGTCTTTCAGGCCCTTGTTTATTATTTAAATTTGTCTGTCATTCAATAGGATTAATCAATATTTTAACATATATATATATCACTTCTTCTCAATTATTTCCTATTACATTATACTTATCAACATGGAGTCTTTGCATAGATAATGTGTTTATTCTTCCATATAATTTTCTTTAAAATCTTGTATTAGAAAGACGTTTTTTCCCTCATTTAGTTTAGTGTTAAATGAAATTGGGTGAACTGAAATAGGGCATGTCAGATCTACCAGATAGCAGAAACTCTACGAATCCACAAAAACTGCTCCTTGAAAATCCTAACTCAACGTAGTTATTTGTTGAGAAATTATTGTGAATACACTTTACGTGGATATCTGCTTAAATGATAATGATTATTCACAACTCAACTGCACATGCAATTGAATTTTTTAGTAATGTGTCTGATTCTTTAATCAAACAGAATGTTCACATCCCTGACTGGAGTCAGGAAGACTAAGTTGAAGGTGCTGAAATAGGTCAAGTGACAGCTGAGAGGGACCGGAAGGAGGGTATATGGTGGTGCTGAGAACGGGAAGATGGTCAGGGAGAGGCCGAGCAGAATACTCTGGTGAGACAATACACAGAATGGAAGGACTAGGGGAGACGGACAGAGCACTGCAGGAAAAGCAAGTGACAGAACAAAGACAGTCGCCCAAACATTTGTTCAGATTTGGGGCAGAGATGTCTGATAGGTACACAGAAGTGTACAACTGGACTTCGAGAGAGGGAGAATGGTCGGGGGGAAGTAATAGATTTACGGGTCATTGTGCATTTATTTCTGTTGCTCTATTTTAAACTGAGATACGGGTTTGCAAAGTCAAGATGTTAAGTTCTACATATTTCTTTCTGGGTGTTTTGCTAAGCTTAGGGAAATGTATTATATCAACTACATAACAAGGTTATATAAACGTTGAGAAAGCTTTAAAGAAATAAATAATCTAAGCACAATTTAGGACTGTTTTCATGAATTTTCAACTGTCATCACTTACTACTTATCTAACTCTCATTTTCCATACAGAACACTTTTTATCCCCCAAATATAATCATTTCAAAGAGGCAAATCCCTCTCCCTTGGGGAAAAATTAGGGTTAGGTTAGACTCAGAGTCTAGTGTTGTGGCACTGGAGCAGTGAGTTTTTAAAGCTCATTTTTCTTGATAACCCCTTATAATAAGGTAATCCTCCCTCCCCACTTACCATTAATAAAGGACAAGCATTGTTCTCAGTTTATTGTTGTCATCTCTGCTCCAAGAGTTCTGCCCTAGCCTACCTTGGCTCTTCCAGCTTCTGCTTTTTTTAGACTTGGAAAGAAAAAGAAACACAAAATCAGAAACAAAAAGTTAAAATACTTAGGCTACATTTTTTTGTGTGTGATCATGAGCCCATAAAACTCTTTCTAATCAGACAAAATCATTGTCTCTTCTCCACCTCAGTCCTTTGATCTTTGTGGCAGCATCTAATTCACGCTCATTTGCTTTGGATATTTCATCCTCAGCCAGCTGTGACACCTGAGTAATTTCACATACAAAACACATTTCTGAAATATTCATATTTATCAATTTTACTAAAGTATTTTACAATTTTAAAGTACATTTAAACAGACCTCTAAATCAATTTAAAAGAAAAGAAGTTTAATACAGGCAATAAAAAGTGTCTGCTCAACGTACATTTGTAACGTGCATAAGTAAAATACAGTTACAAAGTAAATACCTTGGCTCTTTTCTGTTAGCAAAGTGAAATATGTTCTAATATTTAAGTTTTACGGATGGACACTAATGAGAAAAAAAATTGTTTTAAATATATAAATTTATGGGGCACAAGTGCAATTTCATTACACGCATAGATTGTGTAATGGTCAAGTCAGGGCTTTTAGGATGTCCATCACCTGAATGATGTACTTTGTACCCATTAAGTAATTTCTCATCCTCCACCCCCTCAGCCTTCCTAGTCTCTATCGGCTATCATTTCACCCTCTCTATTCATGTGTACACATGTTTTAGCACCTACTTATGGGTGAGAACATGTGACAGTTGTCTTTCTGTGTCTGACTTGGTTTTAAAAAAAGTCTTGGTTTAAAGATCTGAAAAAAAAAATAAGTGCAGCTGCTGACACTTTTGGGACAGCCTCACAGGTAAGAAAAGAGTAAGATGACAACAAAAATGATTACTTAAAATTAGGTAGAATTGGATTTGAACATTAAAGAGACTTGCAGAAGAGATATTCTGAGGCATAATAAACAGGCATATTTATGTATTAATCTTTATAAGGTAACTGTTTTCCCTTTGTACATTTGGAAAGAAAGTTTACTGGCAGATTTATTAGCAGATTTGTGGTATTTTGTCTTATCACTTGGAAGGCATTCATTCCAATCTGCAAAGGAATGCTTATTTTCCCAGTATGTGCTACATTTTAACATCTTTACAGTTCACATTCTAGGTACATTCTACGTTCTATATGTGATCTATGTAGTAAAGATGAAAATGTATTGTAACATTTGATGCATTCATGAGAAATTCTATATATCATGGAAGTTATTTATGTAATTTACTGAGACTAAAACAGATACAATTTATTGCCAATTTAAATTTTTACATAAGAAAAGAAAATATGTGCAATTTGCAAAATAGTTCATAAAAGCTGTTAAATTTGACACATTTCCATGGCTTGCATCAATCAATCATGGATTTTTTAGTGCAAGCGTTTTCAGTCTTATACTCAGTGAGTACACAACAATACATAAGGCTTATTTTTCTTCTTCTTCTTATAGTTATCTCATAAATCTGTCCAAAGCAATGCATATTTGAAAACATTTTCCCCCATGGTAAATGTGTGAGAGTAGCAACACAGCAATGTTTTCATTTTTTTCTCAAGATTCTACTTAATATCCAAAGCATTCATATGCAAATATTAGTGAGCCAAACGAAGAGGGTGATTTCACAGCAGTGCTTGCTAGATTCTATTTTGCTGAATAAGAATGAACAAAAACCTAAAGGCTGACCCCATCAACTCCTCCCATGGAGAATAAGTGTTCTTCACAGATAGTGTAGGGGCCCCTTACCTGTGACAGTTTCTAGAACACAAGAGGCTTAACCACTTTATTTAGTACTTTACTCAAAACATTAACTTAAGAGAAAAGCTGCCAGTCCTGGGGAGGAGGCAAGGATAGGGATGGGCAGAAAACCAGAGGTACCAAGTCCAACCTGATTCATTTGGCAAAGCATTCCTTGGCTGATATTAATGACAATCCTTTTCTCCATCTGCTATTAAGCTTGGGCAGGATGGAATGGATGGGATATTGGTAGGGTTGCAAGATTTAGCAAATAAAAACACAGGATGCTCAGTTAAACTTGATTTCAGATAAACAATATATAATTTTTTCAATGAATGAATATTTTTCAATGATCCAAGATACAAATTTAACTGGACATTCTGTAATTTCCTCAGCAGCCTTAGATGTGGGGAGAGAGCATGGACAAGGACAAGCTTGTGAAGAAGAAAGGAAAAGGAGGCGCATGATAGCCGAGGTCATATCACCATTCCATGAAAAGCCTCTCTATCAGTCCCTATCTTGCATAATTTCCCCTCTCCATCACTATTTCAGGCCCATGTTGAATATTCCCCATGAATTCTGAGAATCTCTTATACTCTAATACAAATTTGAAAGCCTTATTTGAGATAAGAGCCACAAATGTACTTTACTACATTTTGTTATCCAAACTGTTTTTATGTGAGGCTAAGTTTTGTTGAAACCTCTTCCTGATGACCATACATTGTTTTAATCCTTCAATGGACATAACATTCCCCTCTTGTGAACATAGTTTGTCTTCCGCAATCTAGAAATAATTGGTACAAATGAGGAGAGGAGGCATCCGAACTGCCCTGAGCTGAATGCTTTTACATATGCCAAATGCTTTTGCAAAATGTCTCAAAAAATTTAACTCTCCTCATAAACCAACACCTTAGTTTTACTTCTCCAAAATGCACTTGTTGCTATTACATATACAATATGTATTTTGGACAACTCACTCAAGGCTGTTGCTACAACAGGATTCTTAAACTCATTCCAGCCAAACTTTATAAATGAGGAGAATGTTGACCATCCTGGCTGATAAGATGATAGTACACCTGGGAATCTCAGTCCAATCAGCAATCTAAATTGAGTTTGAACTTTGTTCTGCATGCATCTGTTTCACCTATCATTAGTAGGACCAAGTGGAGTGCAGGTCAATGTTTAGAGACATCCAAAGTAGGGTCTATGGTCGTATTCATGTTGGAAGCTAGAGAGTTAAGGAGAAGCTCTTCACCATTTCTTCAATGAACTCATGCTTTGGCTCTCCCCCATGCATATAGAAAGCAGCTCACATAAAGAGTGAGTGCATGATGTGATCTCATCCTGTAGTTGGACATTACTTTGTTGGCTCCCACACTTAAAGCAATTTGAATTTCTCAGCAGCCATACATCACCAGTTTTGACAGAATTTGCAGGTTTGTTCTTTACTCCCAGCCTAATGGATGAAATGAAACTTGGTGAGCTCCCAGAGTTGGACAACCTTCAGAATGCTGAGACATACTAAATGAAGGAAGAAAGTCCTTTTGTGAGTTCTCCAAAACTCAGACCTCCCAGTGACTACAGCAAGGTCCTGTTGTTTCAGTGAAAAGCTGTTCAACTTGGTGAACCAGTAAGTGATCTCTACAGTTACAAAAACTTCTGAGATTCCAGAATCCTTTGCTCATCCCTTTTGTTTCTCCAGGCAAAGAAAATGGCATTTTAATAATGGCACCTTCACTAGTAAAATGACTTGCACATGCAAAGTAGATTCTCAGTGAATATTTGTTCATTCCTGATTATCACTAAGAGAACAGACACATTATAAAACTACTTCAACTTGTTCGGGTTAGGATTTTTTGTTTGGAGTTTTGCTGTTTATTAGTCCACTTAGTTGAAATCCCATCTTAATGCCCTTTGATTAAGATTGGTACAAGATTAATAGCTCCAAATCTATTCTTGTTGTGTCTGTATATTTATACTGGCATCAAACAACACAGTTTTCAATGAATGACTCTTCCAATATATCAGTTAGATTTACTATTTCAGATGGAATTTTAAAAATCTGTCTGAAATGTACAGATTTCTTACTAGTATACTCTGCTTCTTAGCAGACAAGAAATAGCATACAAACATCTCATATTTATTTTTTATATCCTATAATTTTGACCTTGCCTCTGATAATGATTGGTATGTAAAAATAGAAAAGAGCTATTGCCCCAGATAAAACAATTTTTTAAATGCTGACAGTAGGGTTTGATTTTAGATTGGATGCTGTTTTTTCTTCCTCAAATAAAAATCATATTAAGTAGGAAATCTAATAAACATCCTAATGGGGTGAAAACATTGTTTCTCATAATTCAGCTTGCTTTCTTTACTTATTAGTTAAGCTCAGCCAGGATGGTGGGCAGGCTGGCATGGAATTGATGTGTCTTGATGTATTATGAAACATTACAGCTGAGCTCTACAGCCTCTGGGCAGAGGTCAAGTGAAGGTGGAAGAGATGATTTCATGCAGGCTCCTGCCAGAAGCTTGATATCTGATGTCGACTGCTGACAACAAGCCAAGTGAATTCACTAAAGTTTGGACACTGTACAACAAGTTTGGTGCCTCTTGTGACTGTGTAATTGGTCTATGCACTCAAGATTAGACTATTTATAAACACTGAGGAATTTTCAGGGCAATACAAATTTCACTACACATGAACAGAGGTGCTTGGCAGTATTCACAAACAATCCCATTGACCGACTCTGAGGTGTACATGTTAAGACTAATAAATATAATTGGCCCCATGCACTTTATATGAAGATAAATTTTAGTGTTAAACGTCATCCTTCAGATAAAATGATCACCTCTGTCAGAATAATTTGCTTCCTTATTTGCATATTGCCTGTCCACTCCCACATGAGAATATAAAGTCCATGAGCCTGGGGACTGTTGTCTGTTTTGTTCACTGCTGTATTCTCCAGGACAGAGAAGAGACCCTGGGCCGTAAGAGGCTTTAAAAAATATTTATCCAATGAATGAGGAGTGATGGAAGTGAAGAACACTAAACTCAATTTAGTGGTTACCACTGCATAAAGGAGAGAAATAAAACTGCAAGAGGAACACGAGGCACCACCTGTATCTGCAATATTGTGTCACCATAAGAAAACTCTGATATAAAACATGCCAAAATACTGAGCTCTGGCAAAAAACAAAAAGCAAACAAATTCAGCCACAGCTAAAGGTATGACATTAATAAATAGTTTGTACAACTGGTTAGAGCACATGCTATGCAATTAAAAATTATATATGGTTTCAATTCATACAGAGAAAAAGGCAGAATTGTTTTTCTTCTTGCTTTGTCTTTCAGGTTTATTTATCTTAAAGTTAACTCTTATCAATTGTGTTTATGACTCGATTTAGTTACAAAGGTCATCAGAACTACCTTTTTAATTGCTTAATTTATATAATATCTTTCAGATTGAAAATTATAATTGACAGTTTCAGATTATGTAATATAGTCAAAGGTTTAATATTTATCTGTAGATTTGGTCAGTTTAAATTATTGAAGCCCATAGTGACTTGAAAGTCCAAATTCTATATGAAAGTACTTAATTTATTAAATTGAGTAAATTATCATTTTACTAATATTAATTAACTAAATTGATTAAATCATTTTAATTCTATCTTTTTTTCATAGCTTCTTTCAAAGACAACATCATTTGAAGTCTATAGAAAGCTTCTTGACACATATTACATTCTAGATTCTATTCATTTATAAAAATATATCTTCTGTCTCTTGGATTATACATTATATTTTTTATGTTGAACATCTTTCTATTGCTTTTCTAAATATGGCAATGCCAAACAATAAGCAGACTGAAAATATAAATGTTTAGTTTCATGTATTGGCAATGGCATGTTTAGAGCTAAATTACTTCATTGGCAAACATTTAACTGTTGAAGATCTTTCTCCCTTTCTGTCTTCATCTCTCCAGGCTCTGCATGAATTCTGTGGTCTCTATAGGAAGTAGTAAAATGATCTATGGTACCCCAAAAGCAGTCTTCAGGGGATTTCACAGAGCAAGTATCAGAACATGTTACAACTCATTTCTAAGGAAGTTCCTCTAAACTTCCTGTCTGTACCATAAACCATGGTCTGCTGGTCTCCTCTTCATTCATTCATTCATTCATCCAAGATACTTTCTGGATGTCCCTGTCTTCAGGAAGAAGGGCTTAATAGTGGAATGTTATGTGGGCATTGCCACTGGACAGAAACATTCTTCTCTTTGCATAAAGTCACATGGTAAGCATAACCATCTCCCTTTCCATCTTTTGAGATTCTATTTTACTCCAGTGGGATGACAATAAATGAAGAGAAAAGGATCCCCCAAAAGTCATGCAGAAAAAGAGTTTTAAGATTCTTAGAAGGCTGTTCAATTCATATGTTATTTGAAATATCCAGAGAATTTGTGGAAGATCCTTTCTATGGCTTTTCTTGAATACTTTTGAATAAAACTCTTCTTACCCAAACAGGCCTGATAGAGTTTCTTATTTTATATGCCTTTGCTCCTAATGTGCCTTTTGGCTAGAATGGCTTTACCTCCTCTGCCAGATGGAATATGATCCATCCTCCAAGGTTCATTTTAAATGGAACCAAATCCCCTCTTCAAACCCTTCTCTGATTCTTCTGGCAGGAGTCATTTCTCCTTCCTCTGAATTTCCTTAGCTTCTTTATTTACTGATATGATGACCTTTAGACATTTTCAACATATATAATAACTATGTGTGGGCTTCAGATGATAAGTTTTTGGGAAGGAGGGGGTATTATTTATCTTTGAACTCACCACCTTTCCCAGACAAATGTTTTGCATGCACTAGGCTGTCAATATATGCATGCTGAATACTAATTGAATATTATCTCCCTCTTTTCCATACAAGGAAGAGCTCAAAAATTACAGTTTGCCAGCCCATCTTTTCCCATCTCCAGGTAGTCTATCTCCTTTAAAAATAAAAGGCTGGAGAATCAGCCTATCTAAAAAACAAAACAAAACAAAACAAAATCAACCCACCACTAGTAATGGCAGCTATATACCAGATGTTACACCGTCTAAGCTCGAGGAATACAGCTAACCTGGTTTCCCAGGAATTTCAGCATTGTTGAATGCTTGACTCTGCATTAAAATTCTGAACATCAACATTAAGTGGCTGATTAGTTAACTGATTGTTCAGATTCTTTAATCTTCCTACCTGTTTCCCTGTTCTGCTTAACCCTTAGGTAAAATGTGGCAACAGAAAAGCTGGAACTAAAGCTCTGACCAAAGAATATCTGGGGAAAGAGAGTGGATGGATTAAAATGATAGTTTCACTTTGAATTACTTGTGTATTTTGATTATAAATCAAATTTAAATGACAAATATCCCAGTTAGACCTTCCACTTAAGTAATTTTAATTTATCTGTACTTGGTTAGTTTGTTTTCTGGACATCCTTGTCTAAACATGGTGTAATCTAGGGCACCAGATGTAATTTTCCTTCTTATGTACTTCACTAGCCAGTGTGTATTGTGCTAGATCATTTTTTCTCAAAAAAAAAAAAAAAAAAACTTCTTTCTTCCTTATGGGTGAGAAGTCATATCCAGGTCACATAATAAGTTAGTGTTAGAACTCAGCTTTGGTATCTGGGTTTTCCGTTTTCTAAATCAGAGCTTTATATATGTGTTAAAAAGCCAGATGCCATTAAATATCAAGCTCCTTTAGGGGACATACACACACACACACACACACACAGATTCCATGAGCAAATAATTTAACTACAGTGGAATTTTTTCAGAAAAGATCTATTACCCAATGTAAGAGAAATAAGTAATAAGATAAATGTAATAGATTTAAAATAAAGGTACGGAAAAGAGTCTGGCAGTTTGTCAAAAGGGTAAAAATAGAGTTAACATGACCTAGCAATTCCACTCCAAGGTATATATTCAAGAGAAAACAAGTAAACAAACATATACCTAAACAAAAATATGTACATGAAAGTTCACAACTGCATTATTTGTAATAGCCAAAAAAGTAGAAACGACCCTCATGTCCATCAATTGATGAATGGATAAACAAAATATTGTGTCTTCATACAACTGAATACTATGTAGCTAGCTATAAGAAGGAATGAAGTACTGATGCATGTCACAGCATGCATGAACCTTGAAGACATTTAGGTTGAAGACATTTACCTTGAAAATATATGGTCTGCACAGAAGACCATATATTTTATTATTTTATTTATATGAAGTGTCCAGAATAGACAAATCTGAAGATTCAGAAAACAGTGCCTGCCGATGGTGGGGGAGGGGCTCAGGGCTGGAGGGAAATGCGGAGTGACTGTAAATACATATGAGTCTCCTTTTGGGGTATTGAATATGTTCCAAGACTGACTGTGGTGATGGATAGTTGTTCAGCTTTATGAATATACTAAAAACCATTAAATTGTGTACTTATTTAAATGGGTAAATTGCATGGTCTGTGAATTATATCTCAATAAAGGTGTTACATACATATTTTTAAAAAGGTGAGCTTATAGGGGCTTAATATTCATTTATTCATTTATCATTCACTATTTTATTCATTCATGTACGCACATGCACTACCCCAGATTGGCCTTCTCTGACATTGTCACCTCTCTACCTCCATCTCTACCTCTAGACTGAGAATGTCCTCACACCACCCCTCAATTATCTTTCAGAGCATATGCCACATTTCTAATCATGCTGCAGTCTTTATGACAAAGGATCTCACCTATTCTGATCACTGATGTGTCTGCAGTACCTAGTATAATGGGCATGGCTCATGAAAGTTGTTTCAATTACCAAAATATGAAATGTTGCATACTATTAATAAATGGGAAGACCCTAAAACATCCTAAGAGATCAAATAAATATAATTGTATGAATGTATACCTGTTAATAATAAAAAGGAAGAGCAGAAAAGATTAATTTTCTTTCAGTTGGAATTTAATCCCAAATCATCCAAGTTTATATAAACCATGCTTGAGATCAAAAGAGATCATAGCTGGATTTCAAGGAGAACATAATGTTCTTGATATCATGTGCAAAATTTTCTTGGTATATCTACTTTCTCTAGGAGATTATACATATTTGTTATCAAATTTTTAAATAGTAAAAGAGCCCCAAGAAGCCACTGCTAGATCTTGATCAAAAAGGCCCCAAATGCAAGTGAAATTCAGTACATGAATAGTCCACCTTTTCACTGTCTCTAATCCAAAACCAATTCCTATTGATAATAACACTTAAATATAAACTGAATAATCCCCCATTTTTATTTCTACTTCCATTGCTTTGTCTCTGGCATTTGCAGTTTCCTGCCTAGACCATTGTAACCACAGCCTAACTACTCTCCCTACCAGCAGCAGAGAGATGCTCACATTCTTCTTCAGCGAATTAGTAATTCACAGATGCCATGGCAAATAAAACCCTTGAGTGGCTAACTACAGTATGCGTATCTGCAACTATGATTGCTTTACTTTTTCTTTTTTCAGTTAGTACATATAAAAGAGATGATCAGACCCCTATGAACAAAGACCACGATTAATCATCTTTATATTCGTGTCTGGAACATAGTAGATGTTGTATAGTTATTTGTTTAGTTGAATGGATCTGTCACCCCCAAATGCCTAATATATGCTTTGTATATGAGAGAGGTTTAATAATGCTAAACAAATGAATGGTATCTCTATATGCTATATATTCACATAGATGCATATTCTATGTGTTCATTATTTAGTCTTTCTCTTAAAGTCCTCCTTGGGTGGGGTAGGAAAGCAAAAACCTTGAAAACAGCAGGAGCCTACTTCTACATACGGTGCTTTAAGAAACTGATGTGTCTTAAAACCAAAGCAAATCCCATTAACAGAATAAAACCCTAGTATACACTTACAGTGCTGAGTAGATGAAATTTAATGGAATCCTGTAAGTAGCTACCTTGAAATTGCCATCTTGTTCCAAGAAGGTTTCTAGATTATTTTAGTATTTTTATGTAAATTTATAATAACTTGAATTCTAAAAGCTGTTTTATCAAGGATTTTTCCACTGTGTAGAGTTAGCTTATTAGGTTTATTCCATTTTTCTCTTTCTTGTAAAGCTTTAACACATATTTAGTTATGACCTAATAAAGACCTTGTACAACAAAACATACTGATGCTCAAGTAGCTGCTCTATTGTGGTGCCATAGGCAGTACAAAGGGCTTATTTTGTTCCTGCTTCTGGTTCTGTGGAGGCTCATAACCAGAGGCATTTAACTCAGATAGCTAGATCTACTGTGTGTCCTTTGGTAGACAATAAATTTTCAAAAGAGGGGGTAAATGCTTAGATTTTAAAAAGTCCAACATATCATTATAACTAAAATATACAGATGAAAATGCATTTTAAACCTTTAAAGAGCATAACTGTGTTAGGTTATCAGTGTCCAAATACCTTACATTATGTTATACACAATGAGCAATTGCACAGCTCCAACTTCCAAAACAACATTTAGCAAAATGAATCCCCAGAAATCCATCAACCACAGAAATGTGCTTCTCATGTTCTCTGGTGGCACTTCCCTTCCTGGTACCCTAGTCTTTCCATTCAGCCATTAACTAACTATTGGCATTGGGTAAATCTTTGAGGCTTGATTACATCATCTTTTGTAAAGAATCTAGAGTCTTTATTTGCATTATAGTCATGGGGGTTGAAGTAGATGAAGTATTGAGGCACTTTCTGGTTGCTAGGTCTAGTAGTCCAGAATTTACCCAGTATTCTCAGGCTAAATAAGTCCAATTTTAAGAAGATAAAGATAAGTCTATGCATGCTCTCCCGACTTCATTTTGTGTTCATGTTCAGAATCTACTTCTACAATACCACAATAAGCAATTCAAGCAAAGATTACCACTAGTCTCACTATTCAAAGTCTAATGGAAATTGTTAACATTTAACTACATTCTTGTTTTTAAATTTCTTAATATTTAAGGTTGTTTTGCATTTCTTTTTTCTCCAGCTTGTGGGATATTTCACATTCTAGTGTTCTTCCTTTATGTCAACTCTTCTTTCTCAACTTTGTTGCTGGCTCCCCTTCCTCTCTTGGCTACTTACATATTAACATCTATTCCACACCCAAGCAGACTTTCCCTTGGCCTTTTTCCTCATTCTAAATGTTACTCAATTGTGATCAGATTCATTTCCATGAATGAACAAATCACCCCAAATTAATATGCTGTAGGTATTTCCAACCCAACAAATTTTAAATTAGATGAATCCTTTCCTTCAAACATAGACCTATTAAGAGGTCAAGTACTTTACCTCTTAGTGTTAGTAGTTTTCTGTTGCTTGTAATAGAATACCTGAAATTAGGTAATTTAAAGAGAAAAATAATTTTTTTCTTACAGAAATGGAGGCAGAAAATTTCATGGTTGATGGACTGCATCAGGTGATGGCCTTCTTGCTGATGGGGACTCTGCAGAGAGTTCCCAAGCAGCACAGGGCATCACATGACAAGGGAACTGAGTATGCAAGCTCAGATCTCCCTTCCTCTTCTTGTAAAACCACCAGTCCCACTCCCATGATAACCCATTAATCTAATAATCTAGGAATGAATTAATCTATTTGTGAAGGCAGAGCCTTCATGTCCCAATCACCTCTTAAAAGCCCCACCTCTCAACACTGCCACATTTCAACATGAGTTTTGGAGGGAATAAACATTCAAACCATAGCAATAACTAAGTGATTTTGAAAAAATTGGAAGAGTATTACAAATAACAGAGCTAAAAATGACTACTTAACAAAAATTTGGGTATACATAATTGTTAAAGCTGATATTGAGAGAAGTTACACCATTGCTTTTCAACAAAACACTGTTTAAAACCACTGTTCACAGAATGCTGGCATGATGAACTTTGGGTCTGACTCAAGACGAAAACTCCTGAATTCACAAAAAAAATGTAATTATATGGTTGGTATTTTATATTGTGTAAAGCAACAAATTTTCAACCCAGAATCCTGGGAAAGATCCCATTTCTAGGTACTGTATATAAGAATCTTACAGCTGGGGTTGGAATATCAAAGAAAAAAGACTAGGGGTTTTTAATCTAGTGTGAAAAATGCTTCAGATGTTACAATTATATGTCATACAAGAAAAACATATATGCATTTGAAATTTTAAATAACATTAAAGAAAGACTTCAGATTTTTATGTTTAACTAGTAGCACTTTGTTTTTTGAGTCATTATGCTTGGATTTACTCTTTTGGCATTGACACCTGCATTCTTCAAAGCTTCCTTAATCAGCAGGATTTCAGAATAAAATTAATTCTTAATTATCTGTAGTAATGGAGAGCATAAACAGAATAGAAAACAAAATAATACCAGTGAAAGTAAGTATTTGTTCCTCAAAATGTATCGAATTTGTTCCTCAAAATGTATCAAATATCTAAATGTATAAAACAAAACCATACAATTTTTAGGAGAAAACATAAATGTAAATCTTCTTGACTTTGAATTAAGCAATGTCTTCTTAAATATGATACAAAAAGCACAAATAACAAAAGTAGATAGAGATAACTGGACTTCATTGAAATTAAAAACTTTTGTACATCAAAAGACACTATCAAGAAAGTAAAAAGAAAACCCACAGAATGGGAGAAAAATCTTTTAAAATTATATGTCTGATAAAGATCTAGTATCTGGACCATATCAAGAACTCATAACTCAGCAATATAAAGAAAAACAACCCAATTAAAAATTTGTCAAAGTATTTGAATAGATGTTCCTTCAAAGAAAATATACAAATGACCAATTAGTAAATGAAAAAATGTTCAACATTATTAGTCATTTGAAAAATGTAAATCAAAACCACAGTGAGATTTGAGGTACCACTGAACACTATTTCCTATATTTATGTATAGGAAAATAACAAGTGTGGTAGGGATGTGGAAACACTTTCATATATTGCTGGTGAGGCTATAAAATGATGCAGGCACTGTGGACAACAGTTTGGCAGTTACTCAAAGAGTTAAACACAGAGCTACCATATGATCCAGTAATTCCATGCCTCAATATATACCCAAGAGAACTGAAAGCATATGTTCACAGAAAAACTTATACTCAAACATTTACAGCATCATTATTTATAATAGCCAAAATGTGGAAACAATCCAAATGTTCATCAAATGATGAATGGATTAACCAAATGTGGTATATCCACTTAACAGAATATGATTCAACCATTTTAGGAATGAAGTACTGATGCATTCTTCCACAAGGATGAACCTTGAAAACATTATGCTACGTGAAAGAAGCCAGTCACAAATGGCCACTATTGTATAATTCCATTTATATGAAATGTCAACAATAGGAAAATCCACAGACACACAAAGTAGACTAGTGATGACCAAGGGACAGTGCATATATGTGGTTTCTCTTGGAGTGATGAAAAAGCTCTGGAATTAGATAGGTGATTGTACAATATTGTGAGTATACCAAGATCAATTCATTGTATATTTTTAAAAGGTTAAAATGATGAATTTATGTTACGTGAATTTTTTGTCAATACAAACATTACTTTCAAGTAATTAGAATGTTGTATTTATTCAGCTTTAGAAGGGAATCAGAAAGCTCAAGTGAGCATGCATTCACTCTCTCATGCCTTCCTTATTTCTAGTTAGGCCTCTGGCAGACTGATTCATTAAAGCAAGTCATTGTTGATAAGCCGCAATGTATAGAAGCCACAAGTACTCTTTTTTAGTCAGAGTTTTATTGAGAAAGAAATAGTGTTTCTAGATATTCGAAGCAGAAAGCGATTTAACCTAAGGAGTTTGGTGTATTAAACATCATTTAAGAATGGAGAGGACAATATCAGCTCTCCAGACTACCATGGGTTTCCAAAGAATCAGGAAGTTTCTCTGGACACCCAGGTTAGGAATGGTGCCAAACTGCTACCAAATGTCCCAGTTGCTGGAGCGCTCACATAGGCCATTCACAGGGCAATGCCTAACGCCAGAGGCTCCCACAAAACTCTTGTTTTCCAAGGCCCATGTCTCTTACTAGATTTGAGCAACTTTTTTTTTTTTTGGCAGAATGGGAAATGCAACTAGAATCCTAGGAATAAAAGAATCTTGGAAACATTGTTTATAAGCTTCTACAGTTCTTGTAGAGAGAAGAAAGCACAGAAAGATGTAGGGATACATTGTAGTTGCCAAAAAAACAAAAACAAAAAAAGCCAGTTCATTTTCCAACAGTTAACTGCAATTAAAAAATTAAGTCCTTACAAATGTCATCATTCAGGTTGGCAGACATTAACCCCAAATTACATATTTGTCCCCCACCCCCACTTTTTTTCCTCACAAGACCTATAGAATCAATGTAAATTAGTTAGGCCTCTGGACTTTATTTTGGAAAACATTTTTTTCCACTGGTTTTCATTCTTTCGCAAATTAACTTTCTTCATAGCAATTGACCTTCACCACATCATGTTGGCAAGTAGATGTTTAAAGAAAGCAAAAATTCAAATGAAAGTTTCATCTCTTGGGTTCATTTCAAGCCCACTATGGAGGATTTTTTGTTTGTTTTTGTCTTGATAGTTTTTCTCAATCTGGATTTCTGGAACTATCTAATCTGGATGATGCTGAAACCTGATAATTGGGGAAAAAAATCAATGTATATGGAGGAGATAGGGTTTAAATCACTATTCAAATGTAGTTATGGTTATATGAATTCCCTAAAATGAATTTAGGGTTTGGGAAGACTGAATTCCAGACTAGCTAAAGAGTTAAAATTTTCATGATCCTCTTGAAAGACAATTTACAGTGTATTAATGAATTAAAAACTAGCAAAATCATCCCTTCATGAAAAATATTAGAAGGCAGAGTCATATTTTAATTGATTTTTATTTATTTATTTATTTATTTATTTATTTATTTTTGAGATGGAATCTCACTCTGTTGCCTAGGCTGGAGTGCAGTGGTACGATCTCAGCTCACTGCAACCTCCACCTCATGGGTTCAAGCGATTCTCCTGCCTCAGCCTCCCAATAACTGGGATTACAAGCACCTGCCACCACAGCTAATTTTTGTATTTTTAGTAGAGGCGGGGTTTCTCCATGTTGGCCAAGCTGGTCTTGAACTCCTGACCTCAGGTAATACTCCTGCCTCAGCCTCCCAAAGTGCCTAGATTACAGGCATGAGCCACCATGCCCGGCCTGATTTTAGATAAAATGGGACAGGATTCTTTTAACTTACAAATGGTAAAGCTATTAATTTCTGCATGGGTACTTTTGACATTATAACCTAATTACAGTTATATTATTCCCTTATGTTTGAAATTGAATGTTTCTAGATTAATTTTGGATAAAATTTTAAAGGAAAAGTAGGTTACTGTTTACTTTGGGCTTTAATAATATAATCAAGAACACTTATTTGCTTTGAACTATGGGTTCCTTCCTAAATAAGCATGAGTGCTACCTAATACTTAGATTTTCATATTTTTCTCTTTGCAGAGTCTAAGATAATAATCTGGCCTTGTTCCTCTACAGAATGACCTCATTGTTGGCTCATGAAAGAAATGAAATAATACTAATAATTCATGTAAGATATTTTAATATAAATTTATTTGAGTTGGAAAACATTTCTTGTCTCTAAATATGTAAGAAAACTTTTGTGGCATAGCAGTAATATTATTAATATAGTATTTGTCTTTATTTTAGGCTCTTTTAATTTCCTACCACAAAATAAAATTACAAAAGCAAAATAAAATAGAATAAATAAAAATTTTAAAAGATTACACACGAGAAGTACTTCAAAATGGATTATTAACTCAGAACATTCCACAAACTATTATATACTTCTAAAATAAAAGCAAATTTTTAAAAAGTCTATATCACAGTTTAAAACATAGAGATCTACTTCTTTTATCTAATCAAAGAACTTATAATGACTATCAGGTGAGTTTCTGCAGGGCTGGGATCTTATACTTTTGTTCACTGTATCCCAGCAGTAGTCTGGGATGTTCAATAAAAAAAAGTGTTGGATTATTTGTAAGTTTTAATATTGTTAATGGGTTAAAGCATTAAGTAGATATATTATTTCAAGATCAAAATTATGTTTCTTCCTGGGTGTGATGGCATGCACTTTTAGTCCTAGCTACTTGGAAGGCTGAGGCAGGAGGATCACTAGGGTCCTGAAGTTTGACTTCTGCCTGGGCAACATAGCAAGACCCCATCTCAAAAATAATTATGTTTCCTGTTAGGCATAGTCAATTAGCATATGTTAGCCCTCTTATCTCCAATGATACATTTGCGTACTTTTACTTTACATTGAGAATAACACTTCTTTTTAAAACACAGGATCTGTCTTAAATAAAGATAATATGCTATTGCGTCTTTGGATAACATACACCATTTCCCCCTGTGATTTTTTTTATTATTGAATATATTTTTGTATGTGGTCTTAATTATGAGAAAAAATAGATTAATATATAAGCAAACAAACACACATTTAATAAGTATGAAATACAAAGAGTATTTCTGTGTCCTTCTAGCATGAGTGAGCCATTAAGATCCATTATAAATATTGATTCCTTTCAAAGTTCTTGCTTAATAGTTTAGTGATTTGCTCCTTGAGGATGTTTGAGCCTCTGCTCTGCAGGTCAGAAATCTGGTCTAGGAGAATTCCTGCATCTCTCAACCCACAGAGTGAGAACAGAAGAATTTTAAAATCAAAACACCTTAGAATTCAATCAACTACTTTCATGACACTTCAGAAACTATCATTACATTTGATTACATAGCTAGCACATAAGAAAAAATAATTTGACAGACAAAAATAGACAATAAAATCATTAAATATCAACCTGTCATTAGAAGCTGAATTGGCAATGACATTTGTAAATTTTAGAGTTAGATTAAATACAAATCAGTTTTTCCACACTAATTTGCCACAAATGTCCTTGCATAGACCTTAAAGTAATTTAGCTAGCCTCGCTTATGAACCACACTCAAAATTAAGAAAAACACACCTCTTTATTAAAAAATGAATAGAGAGAAAACCAAGAGAGGCTTGGAGACACAGAAATCAGTAGGGAGAGATTTATAAGGAAAAGTGAATACAACAATGTCAATGACTGCTGAGATGCCAAACAAAATAATTGAAAAGCGCCCTTTTAATTTAGTGACATGGGATGAGAAATACTGATGACTAAGGTAAAGAGTAGTTTTCAGTGTAGCTGAGGATTACTAGAGGCCAGGTTACCAAATTAAAGAATAAGCGATAGATGAGGAACAGGAGAAAGCAAGGATCAAAAACTGTGAATGTTTGACAATGAAAAGGAGACAAATAGAAAGGTAATTATGACCTCTAATTTTTTTACTCTTCTTTAATTGAGATTTGGAGCATATGTCCTATTCCTACAACTTTTCACTCTGAATGCTTGACCAACAAAATATGCCGCTAATTTCTAGAACAGGGTCTTAAGAAAATGGCAGCTTTTATTCTCGTTCAATGGAATACAGGAGCCATTCTGTGAGGAAGCCCAAACTGGGTTGTGGAGAGGTTTATCTGGAGAAGAATCAACAGACAACACTAATTTGCCAGCCATTTGAGGAGCAGTATTGAAAGTGGATCCTCCATCTCTAGGTGAGCTGCTCCACATCATATGGTATAGATGAAAGGTGAACTGTCCTCACTGAGCCCTGCCCAAATTGCATACTTGTGAACAAAACAAGTTATTATTGTTGTGTAAGCCATTAAGTTTTGGAGTAGTTTGTTATGCAGCAATACAAAACTGATGCAGATATTGGTGATAGAAGTGGTACTCTGCTGTAACAAAAACCTAAAAACTGTGGCATTGATTTTGGCCTGGATGTCCATCAGAAGCTGGAAGGGCACTGAGAAACTTGTTTATGGAAGCCTTGAAAATCTCAAGAAGACTGTTAGTAAAAGCCTTAAGTGTTAAAGAGAATGTTAGTAGAGGTCTGAAGGGCTTCACAACAATGTTGGTGAGAGTTTAAAATAAAGTAAGGAAAATATTTTTGAAAGCTGGTAGAAAAGAGACTCTTGGTATATAATGGTAGATAGTTTGGTAACATCATCACCTGTAGAAATGTGGAAACAGAACACGCCTACTGAATTTGATTAGCTAGCTAAGAAGATTTTCAGGCAAAGTGTTAAAGGTCCTGCTTGGCTTCATCTGGCTGTCTACTATAACTTTAAAGAGGACAGAGATGTACTAAAAAAGAAACCATTGAGTTTTTGAGGAAATTTAGAGGAAATATAAATAATCCAAGATCTGCTACATGAAAAATAAAAGCCTCTTATTCCCAGCTTCTCTACATAACAAAAAATTCTCAGATTAAAATGGCTTCCAATAAAAGGTCAAATCTATGGTGATCTTATAAGACCCTATGTTAAGAAATTATAAGATTTAAGCCAAAGCCTTATAAAGCCTTTCAAGCAGACACAAGATTTTCAAAAGATGTTAAAGACACACCTCACAGGCTTTTTCTATCAAACAGTAGTACTTCTAAGAATATTAAGGACATTGCCCTTCAATTATCCATAATAGAAAGAGTTTATCTCAAATAGATTTTGGGATATAACTTTTATCTAGTGGAGTGAACTCAGTAAGAGTCATAGAAATTTACAGATTTAAATATAATTGTTCTGGAGGAAGCACTACCAGCTTTAACTCTAAAGAACAGAGATAGTACAAAATGAAAAGAGCTTTTAGGCTTCCAACTTATTATGGACAAGAAGCAGCTGAGAAGGAAATTCAGTTGCAAACTCATTTTTATTATGGAAAAGGACAGGACCAAGAACCCAGAGGGTAGATCTAGTAGCCACAGTTAATCATTCTTGGGGACCAGGGCCAGGCTCTGATAAGGAAGTGGCAGCATATGCCAGCACCAGTCATGAACCAGCCACTATCACAATCATTTTCACCCTTTGTGAATGGGAATATTTATTGTGGGTGTCCTATGCTGGCTGTATGGGTGGTGGAGAAATATGTCTCTTTAATCCATAGGTCTTCAGTTTCAGAGGAGCTGTGACTGAGGAACCACATTTGCACCTGGACCTGAGGTACATGACATGATCCTGAAGCTGGAGCCTAAGCTTGATGTTGTAATAAATAAGGCTCTTGAGAGTGGAGGGGTGTTGGGAGGGTATGAGTGTATTTTGCATGTGGGTAGAATATAAATTAATTTGTGGTCATGGGTGAACTGGTGGCAGATTTTAAGTCACAGTCACAATGTATTTTGACACTCTTCCTTGTCAAAAGATGAAGCCTATATCCCCTTTCCTTAATCTGAGTCTGACTGCCTGATGAATGTAATATGACATTGTGTCAGCTTCTGGGACTAGACCTTAAGAAACTGACAAAGGAGGAGAGCAAGATGGATGACAAGATGCAATCAGGTGGAACAGCTCCCACCGGGACACTGAGATGACTTGAGTGCTTTTAACAGATCTTCAGAAGGAAGGTGCTGAGAGTGGATAGGGGGAAGACACAGAAGCTGGGCTGAAAGGGGAGAAAGCTGGGAACCTGCATGGGATGACCATGCACCAGGACTCATTTTTGGTTCACAATAGCTCTGGCAGAACAGGGGAGTTGAACTGGCAAGAAGCAACCCACTCTCACCATGGGCCTCTGGAACCCTGATAGGATAAGATCCCTTCACCACCACAGACACTCAAGTTGGCAGGGAGAGCTGCTTAGAGAAGTGTTAGGGGCAGTAAACCAGCTGACATGGAGCCCAGAGGGTTTGGTGTGGAAGTGGCTATTGTGGAGCATAGCCAGGGATGGCCAACTCCTAGGCTCAACTTGCTCCTATAGGAGATTTTAGTCCTAGGGGAACTGTCGGACCTGATCTTTACATGGTGGTCTAGCCCATCAGTTGCGGCTGTTTCAACCTGAGCGCCCGTTGGTCTGCTGACCTCTCCAGGGGCCCCAGCCTGATCATGCCTGCTTGCAGGGTAGTCTTGGGTGTTTTGGGAGCCCACAGTGTAGTTTCTGAGCTGATGGACTGTGCCTGACTAGTGGAAAGCTCCAGCAAGGTGGCCCCTATGGCTATGTACCAGCTCACCTGCTCCCTCCTCATACTGCAGCTTTTCCTGGGCCAATGGCAACTCCTCACATAAATCTGTTGGCTCATATCTGCATGGGCAGGTTTTGCTTTCCTTGCCCTACCAGAATGCAGGAGTGCAGTCTGTCCCCCACCTGACTGCCACTGCAGATAGAGCCTTGGTGGGCACAGAGCCAGTAAGACCCAACCCTACAAGTGCCCTGCCCTTGCGCTAACATTGTGAAGATAACAGCAGATCATCCTCTACCCTGAGTGATCATTCCTGCTCATGGGGCACAGGGAAGGCACCCAGACCTATGCCCGCCAACATCACACTCCAAGTTAACACTACCTCCAGTGCAACAGCACACAGTCTCCAGCAAGGGCCCTTCTCCCGCTTTTCCCCACACTCCTCCCACCAGTTGCATTGCCTCTGCCACTGTGATGAATGCCTGCAGGGAGGGAGGCAAACATCCTGGCACCTGCTGGTACTCTGCCACAACTGCTACATCTCAGTCCCCCCACCCCCCAGCTCCAGCACAATGGATTCCAAACTTTGAGGAGACAGAGAACAAAGTCAGGGCCCAATACAAGTACCCTAGAATTAGGGCATGCAGTCCAGGAGTTGGGGGCTGATGGTTGGTCTCCTAAAATCTTCCAGAAATGAAGCAAATCAGTCAAATCCACCTTATACCAAAATCAAACCCTTAAGGTCATCAAATGTGATTAAAAAAATTCAAAAGTCAGCAACCTCAAAGATTGAAGGTAGGTAAGCCCACAAAGATGATAAAAAATCAGTGAAAGAACTGTGAAAACTCAAAAAGCCAGAGTATCTTCTTTCTTCCAAGTGACCACATCATGTCTCCAGCAAGGGTTCTGAGCCAAACTGAGATGGCTGAAATAACAGAAATATAATTGAGAATATGGATAGGAATGATCCATATTCACAATGTCATCCATGAGATGATATCTTGAAATATATATTTTCCAAGTTGCTTCCCCAACCTAGGTAGAGAAGCCAACATTCAAATTCAGAAAATGCAGAGAACCCCAGTAAGATACTTTACAAGAGTATCATCCCCAAGACACATATTATCAGATTCTCCAAGGTTGAAATGAAAGAAAGAAAATGTTAAATGCAGCTGGTAAGAAAGGTCAGATCACTTACAAAGGGAAACCCATCAGACTAACAGTGGACCACTCAGCAGAAAGACTACAAGCCAGAAGAGATTGGGGGCTAATATTCAACATTCTTAAAGAAAAGGAATTCCAACCCAGAGTTTCATATTTGGCCAAACTAAGCTTCATAAGTGAGGGAGAAATAGGATCCTTTTCAGACAGACAAATGCTTAGGGAATTCACTACCACCAGACCTGCCTTACAAGTGCTCCTGAAGGAAGCTCTAAGTATGGAAAGGAAAGACGGTTACCAGCCACTACAAAAACACACTGAAGTACAAAGACCAGTGACACTATAAAGCAACCACATAAACAAGTCTGCAAAATAACCAGCTAACATCATGATGACAGAATCAAATCCACACATTCCAATGCTAACCTTAAATGCAAATGGGCTAAATGCTCCAATTAAAAGACACAGAGTGGCAAGCTGGATAAAGAAGCAAGATCTATTGGTATGCTGTCTTCAAGAGACTCATCTCATGTGTAATGACACACATAGGCTAAAAATATAGGAATGGAGAAAAATCTAACAAGCAATTGGTAGAGATCAAAAAGCAGGGGTTGTAATCCTAGTTTCTAAAAAAACAGTCTTTAAATCAACAGAGATTAAAAAAGACAAGGGCATTACATAATGGTAAAGGGTTCAATTCAACAAGAAGAGTTTTCCTAAATATATATGCAGCCAACACAGGAGCATCCAGATTCATAAAGCAAGTTCTTAGAGTCCTTCAAAGAGACTTAGACTTCCACACAATAATAATGTGAGACTTTTACACCCCACTGACAATATTAGATCGTTGAGACAGAAAATTAACAAAGATATTCAGGACCTGAACTCACCTCTGAATCAAGGCAACCTGATAGATAGCTACATTCTCCACCCAAATTCAGCAGAATATACATTCTTCTCATGGCCACATGGCACTTACTCTAAAATTGATTACATAATTAGAAGTAAAACACTCCTCAGCAAATGCAAAAGAACTGAAATCATAACAGCGTACAATCCATTGGACCATAGTGCAATCAAATTAGAAATTAAGACTAAGAAATTAACTCAAAACCATACAATTATGTGAAAATTGAATAACCTTCTCCTGAATGACTTTTGGGTACATAATGAAACTAAGGCAGAAATCAAGAAGTTTTTTGAAACTAATGAGAACAAAGATACAACAAACCAGAATCTCTAGGATTCAGCTAAGGCAATGTTAAGAGGGAAATTTATAACACTAAATTCTCACATCAAAAAGTTAGAAAGTTAGAAAGATCTGAAGTTAATAACCTCACAACTAAAAGAATTAGAGATTCAAGAGCAAACAAATCCTAAAGCTAGCATAAGACAAGAAATAACCAAAATCAGAGCTGAACTGATGGAGACTGAAACATGCAAAACCATTCAAAAGATCAACAAATCCAGGAGCTGGTATTTTGAAAAAAAGTAATAGAATAGACCACTCACCAGACTCAAAGAGAAGAAAAGAGAGAAGATTCAAATAAACACAATCAGAAATGACAAGGGGGATATTACCACTGACCCCACAGAAATAAAAACAACCATCACAAAATATTATAAACACCTCTATGCACATTAACTAGAAAATCTAGAAGAAATGGATAAATTCCTGGACACACACACCCTCCCAAGACTGAATCAGGGAGAAATTGAATCCCTAAACAGATCAATAATGAGCTCTGAAATTGAGTCAGTAATAAATAGCCTATACCAACCAAAAAAAGCCCAGAACTGGAAGGATTCAGAGCTGAATTTTACCAGATGTACAGAAAATAGCTGATACATTCCTGCTGAAATTATTTGAAAAAAAATGGGGAAGAGGGACTCCTTCTTAACTCATTCTAACTCATCATCCTGATACTAAAACCTGGCACAGACACAATTGGAAAAGAAAACTTCAGGCTGATATCCTTGATGAACATCATGCAAAAATCCTAAAAAATAAATACTGGCAAACTGAATCCAGCAGCACATCATAAAGTTTATCCACCATGATCAAGTAGGTTTTATCACTGGGATACAAGATTGGTTCAACATATGCAAATCAATAAATGTGATTAATCACATACACAGAACTAATACAAACCACATGATTATCTTAATAGATTCAGGAAAGGCTTTAGATAAAATTCAACACTACTTTATGTTAAAAACTCTCAATGAACTAGGTATTGAAGGAACATACCTTAAAGTAACAAGAGCCAGCTATGACATACCTACAGCCAACATTATACTGAATGGGCAAAAGCTGGCAGCATTTCCTTTGAAAATCAGCACTAAATGAGGATGACCTCTCTCACCACCCCTATTCAACATAGTTTTGGAAGTCCTGGCCAGGGCAATCAGACAAGAGAAAGAAATAAAGGGCATCCAAATAGGAAGAGAGGAAGTCAAACTACACTTCCTGTTTGACTTGAAATTAAGACGACATAATCCTTTGTCTAGAAAACACCATCGTCTCGGCTCAAAAACTTCTTAAGCTGGTAAACAACTTCAGCAGAGTTTCTGGATATAAAATCAATGTGCAAAAATCGCTGACATTCCTATACACCAGCAATAGTCAAGCCAAGAGTCAAATAAGGATGCAATCCCATTCCCAACTGCCACAAAAAGAATAAAATACCTAGGAATACAGCTAACCAGGGAGGTGAAGGATCTCTACAAGGAGAACTACAAAACACTGCTCAAGGAAATCAGAGATGACACAACAAATGGAAAAACATTCCATGCTCCTGGATAGGAAGAATCAATATTGTAAGAATAGCCATAACCGCCCAAAGCAATTTATAGATTCAATGCTATTTCTCTTAAACTACCATTATTATTCTTCACAGAACTAGAAAAAACTATTTTAAAATTCATATGGAATGAAAAAGGAGTCCAAATAGCCTGAATAGCCAAGGTAAAAAGAACAAAGTCTAAGCAAAAAGAACAAAGCTGGAGGGCATCATGTTACTCAATGTCAAACTATACTACAGGGCTACAGTAACCAAAACAGGATGGTACTGGTACAAAAACAGACACATAGACAAATGAACAGAATAGAGAACACAGAAATAAGGTCACACATCTACAACTATTGGATTTTGATAAACTTGACAAAAACAAGCAATGGGGGAAAGATCCTCTCTTCAATGAATGGTGCTGGGAGAACTGGTAAGCCATAGGCAGAAAATAGAAACTGGATCCCTTCCTCATGCCATATACAAAAATTAACTCAAGATGGATGAAAGACTAAAATGTAAAGCCCAAAACTATAAAAATCCTGGAAGACAACCTATGCAATACTATTCAGGACATAGGAACAGGCAAAAATTTCATGACAAAGATGCCAAAAGCAATTTCAATAAAAGCAAAAATTGACAAATGGGATCTAATTAAGAGCTTCTGCACAGTGAAGGGAAATATTAACAGAGTAAACAGACAACCTACAGAATTGGAGAAAAATTTTGAAAACTTTGCATCCAACAAAGTTCTAATATCCAGCATCTATAAGTAGCTTTAACAAATTTATAAAAAAAAAAAAAAACTCCAAATAACCCCATAGAAAGTGGGCAGAGATGAACATACTCTTTTCAAAAGAAGACATACATTCATGATTGTTGAATCATATGAAGACAAGCTCAACTTCACTAATCATTAAGGAATGCAAATCAAAACCACAATGAGATACCATCTCACAACAGTCAGAATGGTTATTAATAAAAAGTTAAATAAATAAAGCTGGTGCCAGCTTTATTACAAATCAAATTTTCACAAGTCCATGAATACTGGTGAGGTTGTGGAGAAAAAGGAATGTTTATATACTGTTGGTGGGAGTGTAAATTAGTTCAGCCATTGTGGAAGACAATGTGGTGATTCCTCAAAGACCGAAAAACAGAAATACCATTCTACCCAGCAATACCATCACTGGGTATATCCCCAAAGGAATATAAATCATTCTATCATAAGACATATGCATACATGTGTTCATTGCAGCACTATTGACAATAGCAAAGACATGGAATCAACCTAAATGCCCATCAATGATAGACTGGATAAAGAAAATGTGGTACATATATACCATGGAATACTATGCAGCCATAAAAAGAAAAAGATCGTGTTTTTTGCAAGAATATGGATGGAACTGGAGGCCATTATCCTTAGTAAACTAACACAGGAACAGAAAACCAAATACCACATGTTCTCACTTATAAGTGGGAGCTAAATGA